>NC_000022.11:36739867-36891382 GCF_000001405.40 Homo sapiens
AGAGAAGCAGCAGGACCCATCAGCAAGAGTGCAGGCTTTGAGGCCAAATAGTCCTGTGTTCAAATCCTGCTCTGTCAATAAGAGAAGCTAAAAAATGAACTATTATGGCACATATTGCCAGTTCCTGGAATAGTCCTCAGTCCAACTGCCTGGGAAAGATTCCCCACATGGCTCCTGACTCTGGCCTCTTGGTTCTTTCCTCTGGACCACCCTTGGGTTTCTGTAAGAAATGTCCAGTGTTTGCAGCTGAGCAGTTTTTCTTAACTTGCTTTCTGCCCATGAAGATTTTATGGTCCAAAATCTCTCTTTTCATTTGGTGCCCTCTCTAACCCTTTAATTCAAAGCCAAAACAGGCCCTTTAAAAATTGTGTAGGTTTCTTATCTTATGAGTCAATTTATAATCCCTTCCATTAGACAAAAGCCATATCCACAAATCTCTTTTTCACCTTGGGCTCTTGGCAAGGCTGCCTTTATGATTCTTAGAAGCTCTATTATTTAACAGAAAGGGTCTTCAACATATGCTGTTAAGATCCTTAGAAGGCCTTTGTCTGCTTGAAAAGGTCTATGAGGTACCACCTTAAGTCTTTCTAAGGTCTTAATAAAAGGCTTTATAGTTATGTCCTTGGATTCATCTTTAAACTATTTTCCTATTAATGACCCTGGCTTTAATCTTTGCCTGGAAGTCATTTCTTATTTTGGGAAGGAAGAAAGTTTTCAAGCCAAGGAAGTCTTGGTTCCTTTATATTTAATAGTTCATTTTTTAGCTTCTCTTATTGACAGAGCAGGATTTGAACACAGGACTATTTGGCCTCAAAGCCTGCACTCTTGCTGATGGGTCCTGTTGCTTCTCTGCACATGGAGCCAGCAGGGATTTCATCAAGTCCTGAAGGAAGGATGGGACTTGAGCAGGTAGAAGAAGGGAGGGCATGGCAGGCAGGGGTGCCACATGGATGAAGACACAGAAATGGTAGGAAATGCAAGGTGCATTAGGAGACAGAGGCAGCCAAGTGCACGATCCCTTTCCATCCCTCTCTCCCTTGTTTTGTCCTTCACACATTCGGTTCCTACTTCCACTCCCTTATAACCACTGTTTATGTCGTTTTGTAGCACAAGCCCTCTGATATCATCCACACTCCACTCCACCCTTCAATCGGTTGGATCACATGGGTTCCATCTTCCCTGAGAATGCCCTTCCTCATCTTGTCCACCTGGAGCATGACTTACTTATCTGTCAAGGCCCAAGATGACTGTCACCTCCTCTGTGACATTCCATATGAGTTGGGATATTCTAATGGTTATAACAACAATGCCAAATGCCTCAGTGTCTTAACACAAGAGTTTTAGTTCTCACTCAGTTGAATGAGAGTTGGCTGTGGTGAGGCAGGTGGGCTTTGCTCCCCAGTTACATGGGGGCTCATGTTCCTTCTGTCCAGTGGCCCCACCATCCTGTAGCACAGAAGTTTGCAAACAATGACCTGTTTTTGTAAATAAAGTTTTATTGAGACTCAGCCTCACTCATTCAGTTACACGGGCTGCTTTAGCACTTCGATGGTAGAGTTGAGTAGCTGCGACAGAGACTGTGTGGCCCAGAAAACAGAATATTTGCCCTCGAGTGTTTACAGAAGAGGTGTGCTGATACTTGCTCTGGGGTTGGTAAGTCTGGAAAGAGAGTGTGTGGAGGGTCCTTTGGGAGTGATGCTGCACATCACTTCCTCCCACACTCCATTGGTCACAGATGGTCACATGACCCCAGCAGGCTACAAGGAGGCTGGGAAATGTAGTCTTCCTGGATGCTCAGGAGGAAAATGAAGTAGGTCCCACAGACACATAGCTTTGTCTGTCCATTTACATCGTAAATAGCTACTTAGGCCGATCGTGGTGGCTCACGCCTGTAATCCCAACACTGTGGGAGGCTGAGGCAGGCAGATCACTTGAGTCCAGGAGTTTGAGACCAGCCTGGGCAACATGGCAAAACCCCATCTCTACGAAAATACAAAAAATTGGCTGGGTGTGATGGCACATGCCTGTAGTCCCAGCTACTCGAGAGGCTGAGGTGAGAGGGTCACCTAAGCCCAGGAGGTTGAAACTACAGTGAGCCAAGATCATATCAATGCACTCTAGCCTGGGTGACAGAGTGAAACCCCTGAGATGGGGGTAAAAATTTTTTTTTTTAAAGCTACTTAGTTCACAATGGCTGTAGTCTAGAATTCACCTCTTTGTGTTCTTTTCAGTTTGTGCCTGTTCCCCCACTGATCCTCAGATTCCTCTCTCTCCACTCCACCAGTGCCTGGTCCAGCTCTCCCTGCGTGCTGACACTGGGCTCCTCCCCAGACACGTCTTTGTTAACAAAACAGACTTAGCCTGTGCCCTCATGGAGCTCCTGGTCCAGCAGGAGCGACAGGCAACAAGCAAATCATCACAGCCAGCCATGGAAATGTGGCAACTGCGATGATGAAATGCTCCGAGAGAAAAGGGGCAGAGGCCAGGTGCGGTGGTTCACGCCTGTAATCCCAGCACTTTGGGAGGCCAAGGCGGGCAGATCACTTGAGGTCAGGAGTTTGAGACCAGCCTGACCAACATGGTGAAACTCCGTCTCTACTAAAACTACAAAAATTAGCCGGGCTTGGTGGCAGGCGACTGTAATCCCAGCTATTTGAGAGGCTGAGGCAGGAGAATTGCTTGAACCCGGGAGGCGGAGGTTGCAGTGAGCCAAGATTTCGCCACTGCACTCCAGCCTGGGTGACAGAGCGAGACTCTGTCTCACACAAAAAAAAAAAAAAAAAAAGAAAGAAAGAAAGAAAAAGAAAAAGAAAAGGGGCAGAGTCAGAGCTCTGAGCACATCTAAGCGGGAGGGACCTGATTTAAACCAGTGGTGCCAGGAATGCTTCCCGGAAGAGGTGACATTTAGGCTGTGAGCTGAAGAATAACTCATTCACCAGGTGGAGAGAAGCTGGGCAGAGGAGGGACAGGCAGGGGGAACAGCCTGGGCAAGGGCCCTGAGGAGGGAGGAAACATAATGACTTAATCCTTAATCATCACAGGCCCTTATTATTATTAATTATAATCCAGCTGAGGCTCAATGAATACTTACTATGTGCCAGACAGCGTGGTAAGCACTATAATTTGCACAGCACTGTTGAGAGCGAAGCTAACAAAAGCAGAGGCTATTAATGTCCTGCCCATGTTCCTTCAGCCCAACCCAGGGGCACCCTGAAGACAGTTCTCTGCTTGCTGCCAGCATCTTGGGTCACTCTGCAGGCCTGAGAGGCTCAGGATGGGAGTGCTGGGAGTTGTTGCTTCCCCTCACCAATGACGGATGGGAGCTGGAGTGTAAATACCCCAGCTTCCTTGCCCCACGGCTGGCAGATCTGAGGTGTCTCCTGCTAATGCTGCCTCTCAGAGGCCCTCAGGCGATAGAGGCCCTGTTGCTTGCAGGGGTACCCCCAGAGCAGTGCACAGTTTGTTGGCTTTTTTTGGTCCATCCCTGTCTCACTTCTCCACCCCTCCATGCTACTTTTGGGGCAACCTCCAAGAGAAACTACTTGTCCCTGAACACTTATCTCAGGGTCTGTCTTTGGAGGAAACAAAACTAAGAAACTATTAAGTATCCCATTTGCTGGATGAAGGAACTGAGGCGCAAAGAAGTTAACACAGAGTAGCCAGGAAAAACAAAACTGAAGGAAGGTCTTTGAAATGAAAGTGCCAAAAATGCGTGTGTGTGTGTGTGTGTGTGTGTGACACAGACAGCCAGGAGATGGCGGTGGGGGTAGTGAGGCGAGATGAGCCTGGTGAGGTGCGTGCACACCAGGGCAAGGATTTGGGTCACTAACTA
The DNA here is from genome assembly GCF_000001405.40 of Homo sapiens. Lineage (NCBI taxonomy): Eukaryota > Metazoa > Chordata > Mammalia > Primates > Hominidae > Homo > Homo sapiens. The sequence continues at coordinate 36,743,700 of NC_000022.11, forward strand.
GGGGCACGGGAGGCCTCTGAAGGCTTTAGACAGGCAGGGTGACATGTTATGACGTGAGAACACAGGCACCCTGGAGACCTAGGCGAACCTGGATTAAAAGGGTCCAAGCAGATGTAAGGAGGTGATTAGGAGGCTTCGGTGGTCATTCTAGGGGGCCCTGGGGACCTGCCGGGCAGGGGCCACTGAGCTCTTCGTGATCTCCAGAGCCCTGGGGTCCACATGCAGACCAGGACACAGTGTGTGTCCTAAGGAGGACATGCACTGCCTGCCTCTGTCCCTCCCCTCCCCAAACCCCTTCCCCTTCCTCTTAGGTCATGGAGACCCTCCATACTCCCACCTCAGGGTCTCTGGCCTGGGGACAGTGTGGGCTGGGGAGCCAGGCACCCCTGCAGCCTGGCCAGGCTGGGAGCTGCAGCAAGAAGGCCAGCCAGACCTCCTGACCAGCAGCCGGCCAGGCCCCAGAGGCGAGCACGTGTCTGGGCGGGTGCCACTGTCTGCCCCAGTGCCCTGAGCTCGCCGCACTGCCGAGCAGATGGCCTTGTAAGTGAGTGCGATCAGAACAGGGTCAGGAGGGTCTGCTGGTCCTACCTTCTCCTCCACCTCTGCTGGGTTCCACTGCCTTGGCCGCTGTCCTGGAGGTGTTGACCAGCTTGGCTGGCCAGGGGCGCCGTGCAGTCAGGTGTGGCAAACTGTGGTGTGATATGACCCAGGCGTCCAGTCATGCAGGGTGCAGGGGACACGGATCCTGGGGGCTCTGGTGAAGCTGAGGCAGGACTGGAGTGGGGGAAAGTGGTAGGAGAGTGGCAAGGGGCATTGGCCACCCTGCAGTCACCTCGGGGAGCTCCTGACTGCACGTTGAGCCCCTGAGTGTGTGGCTTGAGGTGTCGGCAGGACTGGTGTCCCTAGGGAGGAGCAGAAGGGAACTGGAATTTGCTGGGGGCTTACTATGTGCCTGGTCTTCAGTAGCTGCTTCCTTGGGTTATTACTGGCCCCTTGCCCCACTTCAGAAGCCCTCCCTCCACCCTTCTTGGGGGACTTTTTCTCCAACCCTCCAGGCTAGGGGTTCCAGCTCCCCCGGTTCACAGTGTTTATGACCTGGGTCTTCCTTTTACCCTGGGACAGGCCCTGAAGGACAGCAGTTTCTCTGCAGGCCTTTCCTCCAGCATCTCCAGCCACAGGGTCCTTCCCGGGCACCTGCTTGTCTGCTTGAGCTGCTTCTTTGTGAGCAAATGAATAAAGGTTCTATGCGAGTCCCACTCCCTGCATGCGAGAGTAATCAGCTTCACCTTTCTGAGCCTCAGCTTCCTCATCTGTAAAATGGGCAAAATCACTCCCACCGGCCGGGTGCGGTGGCTCACACCTGTAATCCCAGTACTTTGGGAGGCCGAGGCAGGCGGATCACCTGAAGTCAGGAGTTCGAGACCCTAACACGGTGAAACCCCGTCTCTACTAAAAGTACAAAAATTAGCCGGGCGCAGTGGCATGTGCCTGTAGTCCCAGCTACTCAGGAAGTTAAGGCAGGAGAATCACTTGAACCCAGGAGGTAGAGGTTGTAGTGAGCGGAGATCGTGCCACTGCACTCCAGCCTGGGCGACAGAGCAAGACTCTGTCTAAAAAAAAAACACACACACACACACACAAAACAAAAAACAAATCACTCCCACCTTGAAAGGTTGTTGCAAGGATTAAAGAAGATGAAGGAGGTGGAAGCCTGGCACAGAGGAAGTGCTGATCAGAGGCGCACTGCCAGCCATGTGGCTGGGGCAAGTCTCTGCACCTCTCTGAGCCTCCCTGCCTCAGCCCTAAAGTAGCCCTGCCCTGCACAAGGAAGGGAGGGAGAGAAGGGAAGCTGACATAGTGTGTGAGCTGCGAGGGTTGTGCACTGGGACAGCTTGGGCCTGTATCTTCCCATCCATGTGATTTGAGGTTTGGGTAGGTGAAGGCATCTCCCTGCTCCACCCAGCACTGGCAGTCCAGGGATCTTGGAGCCCCCCTGACCCACGTGGCTCTCCCTCCCTCCATTACTCACCTTTCTTTGGGCCTTTGCACTGCTTTTGCAACCCGGTAGGGGCTGGTGCCGGGCCCGTCTTGCATGAGGCCCCAAGGCTGCCCATGCTGTGTGGGGGAGGAGTGGGATCCCTACTTTACCTCAAGGCTCAGCCCTGGGCAACACCGCCATATCCTGGTGTCTGCCACTCTCTCGGGAGTTGGGAGTCCCAGAGGCTGCAAGAGAAGGGAACATGTGGCAACTCCAGAAGGGTGAGGACAGAGAAGGGGGCTCTGCTGAGAGCTCCTGCTGCAGGCTGGGGACTGCTGTAGCCACCCCCTCTGAAATGCAGTGAGAACAGCTGCCCTGGCCAGGCCCCCACTATGTGCTCGGCGTGCTCCTACGGCACGTCTCACCTTCACAGTGGCCCAGCAAGGGAGTAACAACCATCCCATTTTACAGATGGGGAAGCTGAGGTTCCAATAGACTCACCCAAGGTAATTCCCAAGTGTGTCTGGCTGCTTCCACCATTCCACGGGCTGCTGTTATCATAGAATCAATGTCAAGCTGGGCGCAGTGGCATGCACCTGTGATCTCAGCTACTCGGGAGGCTGAGGCAGGAGGACTGCTTGAGGTCAGGCGCTCAAGATCAGCCTGGGCAATATAGCGAGACTTGGTCTCTTAAAAAAAAAAAGCAAAAGAGAAAGAGAGAGAATCACTGGTCTTTTCTAACCTACCATTTTCCAGAGGGAGTGAGCCCCCAGGGAGTGGCTGGGTCATAACAACAGCAATGGTGGAGGGAGGACTCCCTCCTCCACCCCTCCCTTTTGGTCTTCTGCAGCTGTTTATGGACGTTCTCCTTGTGCAGGCGTTGTTCCCATCCTGAGTTCCAATCCGACTCTGGCTCACACCACATGCCTCCTAGGAGTGCCCATCACACGCCGGCCAAGGCGTGTGTGAGGTCCTCCCTGAAGGGTGGTGGACAGAGGTTCAAGCTAAAACACAGGTCTATCAGCCCAGCCGAGGAGGCCCTGGAGAGGCTGCTGGGGGGTCAGACAGCACAGGTTCCCCTCACCCCCCGCCCCAGGCCAGTCCTGCACCTCGCTGAGCCTTGGTGCTCTGTAACTGTCTCATGAGTGAAGGCATGAATGAGGGAAACCGTGAGGACACCCAATCCCTTAACTCCAACTCCAAAATTACATCACCCCCTCCCTCAACCAACACCCTTCAGCGGCCTCCCCCTGCACATCAGGTAACTCCCAAGCTCTGGCTGGGCTTCTGATGCCTCTTCTTATTTATTTTATTAGTTTATTTTATTTATTTTATTTTTTGAGATGGAGTCTTACCCTGTCACCCAGGCTGGACTGCAGTGGCGTAATTCCGGCTCACTGCAACCTCCACCTCCCAGGTTCAAGCAATTCTCCTGCCTCAGCTTCCCAAGTAGCTAGGATTACAGACGCCCGCCACCGCGCCCAACTAATTTTTGTGTTTTTAGTAGAGTTGGAGTTTCACCATGTTGGCCAAGTTGGTCTTGAACTCTTGACCTCCAGTGATCCACCCGCCTCAGCCTCCCAAAGTGCTGGGATTACAGGTGTGAGCCACTGCGCTCGGCTGGAAACTCTTTTCCCCGTGCTCCCTTCACTCAGTGCCCAGGAGTTCTGGCCTTTTGTGGGCCAACCTCCTCTGCCGCAGGACCCTCAAACATGCTATTTCCTCTGGCTAATGTACAACTCCCCGTTCACTGCCTGACTCCTGCTCCTTCATGTCTCCACAGAGAGGCTGCTGCTGGACACCTCCTCCCTGCTAAGACTCCTTTGGAGTCTTGTATAGAGGGTTCTGTTCTTTTCTTTCCAGTGATTTTTACAACCTGTGGTTTTCTACGGGATTGCAAACTGACTTATTGTCTCTCTCCCTCACCAGCTTGTGTGCTCCATGGAGCAAGGAGTAGGAGGCTCATCTGCCCTGTCCAGCTCTTAAGCCCCTGCACCTACAGCGGGGCCTGGCTGGTGGCTGGTGGTCAAAAAGCCAGGGCCTGTTGAGACACAGGGGCTCTGTGTCGAGGCTGCTCCTTAAACGCTTCTTGCCTGCACGCTGTGCGTGGAAACCCAAAGAAGTGAGAGACGCGAGGACTCCAGGGATTGCTAACCCACTAGTGTCATGCCAGAGGCCCCAAGGCAAAGGCGCTCTCAGCCAGGGCAAGAGACCGACTGGGCTCAGGCCTCCTAGCCCCTGCTGGGCCTCTCTCCAGTCCTCTCTGGGGCCATGGCAAGCCACTCTTCCCAGGGGTCACTCACCGGGGACCCAGGCCTCCTAGTCCCAGAGCTCCTTTGGACGAAGGGTGGAGGGCAGCAGACTCCACCCCTGGGATTATCCAGGATAGGGTCACAACAGCAGCGGCAACAACCGAAACAATAGGGTGAGCGGCGAGTGTCCCACTCAGCAGGGGCTGGGGGGTCTGCAGCTATCGCCAGGCTGTGAACCCTCAGCAAACATCTGAAGTAGGTGATGTTAGGGCCCAGAGAGGCGAAGTGACTTGTCCAAGGCCACTCAGTGAGGTAGAGCTGAGCAAAGACTCGCACCCAGAGGCTGTGTGATTCCAAAGCCTTGGGTGCCGCGTGCAGGTGAAACCGCCCCACATTGCTTCTCGACCGTCACCACCTTCTGCCCCTGAGATCAGCAAGCACCTGCAGGGAGGTGGTTGGGAAGGGCCTGACCTTCCTCTGGAGGTTTCCTGAGATTCACAGAGTCTGACGGTAGCTGTGACATCGCTAGGAGCCTGCACTGGGGAACGCAGGTCATGGGCCCATTGCGTCCTCAGCCGTAACGTAAAACAGTTGCCTTGGCTTCCTGGGGTGGCTGTGAAGGTTGAGTGAGAGGAAACACGCTGGAAGAGGCTTTGGGGGAGATTCTGGGAGCACAGTGTGGCTCACAGGGGTTCAAGCCCCTGCTTGTACCTTGCATTCAGCTTGCCCCTGGGCAAGGTTGCTGCTGTTGGAATCTACAATGAGGCAATGAGCCAGGAGGCAAAAAAGACTCACAGATGTCGAGAAGGAGCCTGAGGTCACAAGAAGCAGCCAAGTGTCATGTCATCTGTCTGGGGTGCATTTTCTTCTTTTGCGCAGTGGGACACAAACAGCCACTTTAAAGAGTTGCCATGTGAAATAAAATCAAGATACAATGTATGAGCTGCTGATTTTTTTGAAAATAATAGGATACTTGTTCATGCAACTTTCTTCTTTGCTTAAAAACTTCCTTTCATACTGCAAGAATCCACCATAATCTAGAGGGTACATGCCTTAAACAATTTTTTAATTGATATATCATAGTTGTACATATTTTGGGGGGGTATATGTGATATTTTGACTGTCTGCTTTTAATTTAAATGCCATCTGATAAATGATATGGTGACCAGGGGATTTCTGGACTTGGCACTATGAACTCAGTACAGTCCTTATCTCAGAGTATTTGATGCTTACTGTTGGAATGGCTTGGTCAATTGAAAATTAGGTCATTTGGGCCGGGTGCAGTGGCTCACGCCTGTAATCCCAGCACTTTGGGAGGCCAAGGCGGGCGGATGACCTGAGGTCAGGAGTTCGAGACCAGCCTGGCCAATATGGTGAAACCCCAACTCTACTAAAAATACAAAAATTATCCGGGTGTAGTGGCAGGCACCTGTAATCCCAGCTACTCGGGAGGCTGAGGCAGGCTAATCACTTGAACCCAGGAAGTGGAGGTTGCAGTGAGCCGAGATTGTGCCATTGCACTCCAGCCTGGGCAACAAGAATGAGACTTCATCTCAAAAAAAAAGAAAAAGAAAATTAGGTCATTTTTATCCACGGACTAGTTCTTTTTTGGGTACTTGTAATCAACATATAAATATACTAGTGTGAACCGGAGAGGGTACATTGAAGGTAAGCAATGCATCATGGCGTCCACCCAAGAGGGAACCTCCAACAGCACAGGCTGTAGGGCCAGAACCAGCCTGTTCTCCATTTTTGTGTGTAGTTCCATGCTTCAAATGTATCTTAATTTTATTTGCTTTTCTCAAACCTGAAATAAATTTTAGTTTTTAGCTATAGCAAAAACAAAAAAAATAAAAACAAAACAAAATAAAAACAAACAAAAAAAACAAACAATGCAGCAGCAGCCGCCACAGCAAGGTCATTGCTCCCACACATGGGTCTCCTTCCCGCCCTCTCCCTGTCCTTAGCGAGGTCCCAGTGCTGAACGCACCCTGACCTTTGGTGGTAGAGATCTTTGCTCCTAGTGGGATCCTACAACTCTCAGAACAACAGGGTCCCCCTGGACTGTGAGCACAGTAGAACCAGCTCTTTCTTGGGATTTTAAGAAAACAGACAAGCTTCGCGCACAGCTGGGTTGCAGCAGTTTTTTTCTTTTCCTTCTTTTTTTTGCTTTCAGCCGTGGCAGCCTGCTCTTGATTTCTCTGGAAAGGCAGCTCCTAATTAGAATGGATCGAAGAGTCTTTGCTTCAGCTTTGTTCTCGGTCTCGACTGAATCGTTGCTTTAGGGCTTAATCTGGTGCAGCCGCTGGTTGGTTGATACCCTTGGTTCTCTGAGCTCCTCTCTGGCTCGGGCAGGCTGGCACCCAGGGGGCACCAGAGCTCTGCAGTGTCACTCTGCTCCCTCTCACTCCAGCCCTCTCTTCCTTCTCTCTTTTTCTCTCCACCTGCCTTCTCTCTCTCTAATTTCTTTTCATTAACGACCCAGAGCTGTCCAGGGTGCCAGTCCCCACTCCTAGGAGTGTAAACTGGTACAATTTATCTGGAGGGCAATTTGTCAAATGCTATTAAAAGCTTTTTTAAAAAAGTACGTAGACTTTGACTTGGAATGTCCCTTTCTAGGAATGTATGTCCTGCAGAAATAATTGGACAGGGGTCCACAGATATGTGCAAGGGGACACTGTCCTTGGCTGTTTTCCTGAGTGACCACCTGGAAACCTGGTGTCCTTCAACTGGAAATCATTATGCGTGGGTCACGTAATAAACCAACTGCAAAAGAACCTTTGGGAGTAAATCAGGGAAATTTGACTGTGGACTGAACAGTAGATGCTCCTAAAGAATTACTATTAATTTTATGTGGTGTGATAATGGCTTTGTGGTTGGTTTAGAGGCAGTGACTGGAGGGCTGGCATTTGGTTTAAACGATCGTAACCACCACCATCATGGCAGGGGAGCAGGACAGAGCAAGTGCGGCAGGATCTTGGAAGTTCCGAATCTGGCTGTCAGGTAAATGAGCGTTCATCATGCTGTTCTGTTTTTGTGTAGGTTTTACAATTCTCACGATTTAAAAAGAAATAAAAAGACCATGTAAAATCACATATATATCATATATATGATATATATGGGATATATATATCATATATGATCATATATATCATATATGATCATATATGATCATATATATGATATATATGAGATATATGAGATATATGAGATATGATATATATGAGATATATATGATATATATGAGATATACATGATACATATATGCATCATATATATGATACATATATGTATCATATATATGTATATATGATACATATATGATATATATGATACATATATGATTTATATATCATATATATGATATATATGATTTATATATGATATATATGATATATATGAGATATATGAGATATATATGATATATATGATATATATGATACATATGATATATATGATATATATGATACATATGATATATATGTTATATATGATATATATGATATATATGTTATATATGATATATATGATATGATATATATGTGATATATGATATGATATATATGTGATATATGATATGATATATATGTGATATATATATGATGTATATCACATATATATCATATATATATCATATATGTCACATATATATCATATATATCATATATATCATATATGTCATATATATCATATATATCATATATATATCATATATATCATATATATATCACATATATGATATATATCATATATATCACATATATCACATATATATGATATATATCATATATATCACATATCATATATATGATATATATATCATATATATGTGATATATATGATACATATATTTGAGACAGAGTCTCGCTCACTGTAACCTCCCCATCCTGGGTTCAAGAGATTCTCTTGCCTCAGCCTCCCGAGTAGCTGGGATTACAGCTGCCCACCATCATGCCTAGCTAATTTTTATATTTTTAGTAGAGATGGAGTTTCACCATGTTGGCCAGGCTGGTCTCGAACTCCTGACCTCAAGTGATCCGCCCACCTCAGCCTCCCAAAATGTTGAGATTACAGTCGTGAGCCACTGCACCTGGCCTAAAATCATATTTTCTGACCTGAAATAATACCCACCAGATATTGTTAAATGAAAAGAGATAAGTTCCAAATTTCATATATGGCATTATCACATTTTGTTTTTGGCTTCAAAATATGTACATATTTGTACATGTGGAGGAGAAAGGGAGGAGGTGCACATGCCTGGATGTGATGGGTGGCTATCTCTGAGTGGTAGGATTTGAATATTTTCTACTTTCTTCTTTATGCTTTTTAGTAATAGTTTCTTTTTTTTTTAAATAAACACACATTATTTCCATGCTTGTAAAAAAGCCATAGTTACTACAGATGATTTGGAAATCACCTATAAAGCACTGAACGTTTACTATATATCATGCCTTCTAAAAGTAGGTTTTATATATCTCCATCCACCCACAAAAACTGGTAAGGTTAGTGGTATTATTCCCATTTCATAAACAAGAAAATTGAGGGCCAGAGAGGATCAGTGCTTTGTCCAAGGACACACCGCTGCAATCCTAATTCCACTCGTCTGATATGAAAGCAGTGCTCTAACCTCTAAACCTTGGCTGCATCCAGAGGGTCTACAGGGGATGTCAGATGTAGCCCCTGCCCTCTAGATGGTGACCCTGTCTTTGCTCTCCTGGTCTCTTGCCCTCATTCTCTTCTCTGGTCACTCCTCTCTGCCCCCCGGAACCAGTTACATAATGGCTTCGGTGAAAATACACTTTCCCTCTCAGATCACAGGTGAAACTCGAAAGCTGCCCATTCAATATTTTCTCCTAATGAGCCTTCCTAGGCTTCTTGCCTTTTTAGAATGGAAACAAGCTCTTCGCTGCCATTCTCCTCATATTCATCAGCTCTGTTTGCTGGCAGGGCAGAAGAGTGAATGGGCATCGTATACATAAACATCATACGATCCACAGAGGGCTGGCCAGCCCGAGTTCTTAATCCTGGCTCCATCACTGACAATTTGCAACCCGGAGAAGTCACTCTCTCTGTGTTTTCTGTCTCTAAAGTAAATAAAGGATAACACACTTTAAAAATCAATTGGTGTTCTGAACAAAAAGGATGGGTGTGTGAAATGAGGACAACTCTAAGGGGCTGAAAATACATTTCCCCAAGTTTTGCAAATGCTGGAGATGGTGCAAGCCTTGTCCTACCTTACCCCTCATCCCCATCAGCTCTTGGTCTCCTTACCTCCAGGCACCTTCTCTCCCACTCCACCCTCCAATTCCTCCAGGCTGATCTTTCCAAAGCAAAAATCCAGGTGAGTCACTTCTGATAATGGCTCTCCACTCCCTTCTGGAGAAAGTCCAACTCCTCTGCTCTGGGTACAAAGAGCTCCATGTTCTTGCTTCATCCTTGTCTCTGACCTCACCTGCTGGGCACCCGTCTCTCCCCAAACCCTACAACGCACACGGTTCCCCAAGAGGGCCTCCAGCTTCATGCCTCAGGGCCTTTGCATATGCTTCCCTTTGTCTGGAATTCTCTTCCCTGGCTAACATCAGGTATTTCCCTGCAAGGTCCTGGAAACCCTTCCTAGGCAGCAGACCTGGAGCTCCTCCAGGCCACCTCCTCAGTCCTCCCTGATCTCCAATGCAGGGCAGGACCCTGGACAGAGATGAATGCTGGAATGGGAAGCACAGGTGCAAAACCAAAGGCTTCCTTCTGCATCTCCAGGATGGGCACCAATCGTCCAGTAGATGTGGCTTAGTGTAAATTTCAGTTCCCATCCTGGGATCAACTGAATCTGTGCTTCTTGCCACTCCAGCTTGGGCCAGGAAGTTTTTAGTATTCCATTTTTAAAACCACAACATTTTAGCACCAAAATGAATGCATTTTATTTATAGACATGGAAGCAGGTTGCCTCTTGCCCCCATCTCTCCTTCCAGAAGATGGTCTATCCAATGCATGTTTCCCAGATACGGAAAACTACAGGGCTCCTTTCACAGCAGAAACACCGTCCAGGGAAACCTGCCTGGCGGGCTTCTCCTACCCCATCCACATCTGAATGGATGCGGCAGGGAAGGGCCTGGGTGTCACAGAGGCAGTGCTTTGGAACTGGGCAACTGTTTCTGAACACCCACCCCAAACACGACCGGCCCCACAGTGTGTCCACCCTCCCAGTCACCTCGGCTTCCCCGCCCTCTCTGGCTGAATCAGGTGATGTCAAGAGGCAGCTCTAAAAGATGCTGCGGAATGGCCAGCCCAGAGCCATGGAAGAGGACAAGAGGCCAGGTCCCAGGCCAAACCGCTCTTACAGAAGGCAAGAATCGTGGAGGACAACAAACAGAACCTTCTTCGGAGATCCTAAAGGAGACAGAGGGGCGGTTCCTCTAACCTCCCTCAGGATTTGAAAGATCAACGCTTTTTGGGTTCCACTGGAGTTTAGAAATCAAGAGTCGGCTCCTTTTTCTCCTCTATGGATGGCAGGTGATTCTAGGGCAGGGTATGCATCTCTGGTGTCCATCCACACCTCCCACACTCATCGGACTTTACGGAGGTCCAGCGTTGGGCACTAGGAAAAGAAAGTGGTCAAGCTCCACCTCTGAGGGGTCACTGATGAGCCAATGATGCCTAGAGGGTGCCAGGTGCTATGACCTTCAAATCCTGCTTAAACATCACCTTCCAAGGAAGGTCTTCCCGACTTCCCTGTTTAATATTGCAGCCCCCACCCTGGCACGTCCTCTGCACGCCTCTGCTCTATTGCAACCTAACAGACTGCAAAATTTACCTATTCAATCAAACACCTCGCTCACCCCCCTTGAACGTAAGCACCCTGAGGGGAGGCATTTTTGTGTTACTCACTGACAAAATCCCAAGATATAGAACAGGGATTGGCACATAGTAGGTGCTCAGCAACTGCTTGATTCAAGCATTCATTCAGCAAATGCCTTCTTTCAGGAATAAAATCTGCAGACGCAGCATGCATTTTGTCAATGTTTGCTCATTGAGAGTGGGTTCTTTAGGCAAGTGAAGTAATTAATAGCCACTTGTTAGGTTCCCAAATAGTGCTGGGCACTGTGAGGATGTAAAATCTCTGATGTCCGGCTGGGCGCGGTGGCTTACGCCCGTAATCCCAGCATTTTGGGAGGCAGAGGTGGGTGGATCACCTGAGGACAGGTGTTCAAGACCAGCCTGGCCAACATAGAGAAACCCCATCCCTACTAAAAAATACAAAAATTAGCCAGGCGTGGTGGTGCATGTCTGTAATCCCAGCTACTCGGAAGGCTGAGGCAGGAGAATTGCTTGAACCTGGGAGGCAGAGGTGCGGTGAGCCAAGATTGCACCATTGCACTCCAGCCTGGGTGACAGAACGAGACTCTCAAAAAAAAAAAAAAAAAAAAGCTCTGATGTCCATCCACCTCTGGCTTCCTGTTGCCTTTGGAATAAAATAGAAATTCCTCCCACTGTGGACCCTCCCTATCTCACCTTCCTCTCCTTCCCCGGCACACACCAGGGTATGTCTTCACCGGCCTTAAGTTCCTCCATGTTCCAAGCTTGTTCGTGCCTCAGGGCCTTTGCACTTGCTGACCTTCTTGCTGAATCTCAGTGCAAATGTCCCTTCTTCTCATAGTCCTTCCTATCCCCCCAAACCAGTTACCCCACAAATCAACACCCATCTCAGCTCCGTTTTGTCATCTGCACTGCCTCAAATTATCTTGATCATTTATTTACTTGTAGAACCAGTTTATTGGAGAATCTCGAATCCATGGGCTCTGAAACAAAACCATTTTACTTTTTCCTAATTACTTTTTTCCATCAAGCTCTGCAGAGGTCCCCTTCCTGCTGGGTCTTCCTAGCAGGCTGATCCCGACACGTTTCAGACCATCCTAGTCACTGAAAGGCAGGCCAGGCCAGCTCAAAGCTTCCAAAGTGTTTGTTCAAATCTCTTTTCCAGAAGGGTGGGGAGGGGAGCAAGATCTTTTCTTCCTCTCTCTGGAGTAACTTGGAACAGAGGGGCCAGGGAGGAGCTGCGTGTCTTCTCCACAGGCCTCCTCTGGGTCTGGTTCCATCTGTTATCTCCGTGGTGGCAGGGGGTGGGGGAGGTACTTGGTTGTTTTGGGGCTGAGCCTCCTCTGTTGCTGGGGTCTCCTCAGGAAGGGGCAGCCACATTCCCCTCCAGCCCTGCCAGGGGAAGAGGCCCCCTGCCCTTTTCCAGGTAGGAAACAGCTCCCTTTGTCAGTACCTGGCTGGCTGGTCACATGACTCCACTCCATGTGGGTCCTTCTAGGAGCCTTCCGTGGAACACCCGTGCCGCCCTTCCAGACGCGGTCCTTGCTTTTCCCACTGCTGGTGCAGGCTTCTCCCCAAGCCTCTCCCCATGGAACGCCCCCCAGAGGGGACCAAACAGCTCTGGGGATGTGTGCTGAGCTTCCCAAGGGTGCCCTCGCCACCCTGTGCTGCAGCTGGCACCAGGTTTCTGCAGCTCAGAGAGCATCCGGCTGGGGGTGTGGTGCCAGCCCCCTCTTCCTGGCAGCATCCTGTCTCAGGAGGATCCTCTTGGGCCTCCTTCCCTTGGCGGGGCAAGGGGGTGATGGGGGGGGCACCCACTCACCAACACAGTGGCCACCCTCACTCCCATCTCTCTTGACCATTCCAATCTTATACAGACAGGGAGGAGTGGGGAGTAGGGGGAAGGGGAGCTCACAGCAGCAGGACCAATTCTTCCGCCTCTACTAGGGCCATGGGGAAGGGGGCTGGCCCTAAGCTTCCATGATCTCTTTAGGAGGTGGTTTATTTAGCATCTTTGTCCACAGCTGTGGCCCTGGTAACCAATTCTGGGGCAACCGGAAATGTCCCCGCTGCATCCCCTTGGTTATGGTGAGCCTTCCCTTTTGGAACATGTGACACGAAACCAGCAGCCTGGCGTTGCTAGTGCCTAGGAAAATGCCCGGCAAATGGTAGGCCCTTGGTAACTACTTGCTGAAGGCATGACGCGGCCGCTACAGTGGCTTCATGTTGAGTAACAGGAAAAGAAGGGGGACGCGAGAGCCTGACCTTGGCTGACACCGTGTGCCCAGATGCCCTGCACACCCGTTACTTCACTTCTCACAGTGACCTTGAGAGGCAGCCTAACCCCCACCTGCTCCCAGCCAAGCTCGGGAGGAGGCAGAAGAGGACGGCGGCTGGGAGCCGGGCTCTGGCGTCCACGATCGTGGCTCGGCCACCCCTTGGCTAAGTGTCTTAATTCTCTGACTCCAGCTCCTCATTTGTAAAAGGGGGATGGTAAGACTCTGCACTGTAAGGACTAAATTAGCGAATATATGACATGTGCTTAGCTCATGTAGAGACATGGCAGGTCGTAAACAGGAACCAGGGCAATTTCCATTATTGCCATTATCACTGGGACAGGCCCAGGTCCGTCCACCCCAACGCTGGCACTCTGCATGACACCCCTAGCTCCTGTGGAGGGAGAGTGATGAAGTCCTCTGGGGCACGGGGGCTGAAAGAAGCCGAGACCCCTGGGGGAAGGTGACAGTCAGGGAAGGCCTTGGATGCCAGACCTTGGCCGGCATCCTGATGTAAAAGGTGGTGAGGCACCTCTGTGGGTCTTTAATCAGGGGAGTGAGACGATGAAAGTGGTGTTTTAGAAGATTAATCTGGCAGCAGAGACAGGATGGAGAACAGTCAAGCTCAGTGCAAATAATGATGCCAGCTGCCCAGCTCCCCGAGGCAGGCAGGAGCCCTGGCCTCCCTGCGCTCAGCCTTCCCTGCAGCCATAGAGGCTGGACCTGCCACCAAGAGACAGGCACCAAGGAAGGCCGGCAGAGGGCACTGTTCTGCCAGTGACAGGAACTACCTCCAGGGAGGTCTGGCATCTGGCTAGCCAGGAGCAAGCAGCAGAACGGACTCTGTCAGAATAAGGGGGCCATCAGCCCCATCTCAGCCTTGGGACAGGTTCTGAGCTGGGCATTTCAGCTGTGGGAAACCGTAAGCAAACGCTGGGCCAGGCCCTTTCAATACCCACTGCGGGCTTCGCTTTTGCAGTGGGAGGCCCTTTAAGGAGCCGGTGCACCCTGCCGCGCAGTGGGCAGGACCACCCCCTCGAGCAAGGCGACGTCCCGAAGCACCAGCCTCACAGAAGGGAGGGCCAGGGTCCCAAGTGGGGCTCCCGGCTGCCCTGGAACCGGCAGTGACGCAGTGGCCAAAGTGTACAGTGGAACTAGGGCCACCCAGGCCAAGAGTGGAAGGAGCTGCTGCTTCGACATTTTCTCCTAATTTTATTTAAAGCCATCATTATATATTAAAAGAGCAGAGGTAATTCTGTCTTCTCCGGTTGTGCAGCACGATCTGCTCCAGCTCGTCATGCCAGGGCCCGGAAAACCTCCACCTTCTCCCGGTACAGCTGGTGGAACTGCTTGGCAAGGCAGTGGAAAGGGGCTTCGAAGTTTTCCATCTCTTTCTGGAAAGACAGTTTAAAAAGTTGGCTGTGTTCTTTTAGAAGGGTCAGAGGGCCAGCTCTCACTCAATGCTTCCCTCATTCGGGGGCTACCTACTTTCCACCTCATTTCATCTTCACGCCCTTCGAGGTAGCCACTTTCATGGATGCCAGTTTTACAAGAAGGAAACTCAGATGGAGTCAGGTAACTCAGAGATGAAGGTACCTTGCAGGAAGCCACACACCTTGTGAATGGTGGAGCTGGGGCCTGAACCCATGTCTGTTTCTACAAAGCCTGTGCTTTTAGTTGCAGTCACTGTACGTGTGACGAGATGTGAAAATGACACCTTTCCTCAGTTTTGACTGAGGCTCCAAAGGCCAAAGCAAAATACCAAGGAACCTGGAGCCCCCCATCCCGAAGAAGAGCTAGACAGCATGGGGCACCCTCTTCCTAGGCTGGTGCTGGACCCAGGCCTGGGAGGAATCGAGGTGAGGTGGTGGCTGGGCAAGCCAGGAGAGGGCTACCAATGAGACGGCCTCGCTGCCTCCTTTGTCAAACTAAACGGCTGCAGCAGCACTTCCCTGAACCAGCGGGGGCCAAGTGGAGCCAGCCTGGTGCTGTCTTAAGGGGGCTCGGCTGGGACCGCCTCCAGGAGGGTGACGGGTCCCAATAAGAATGAACAGCCAGGAACTGGGGCTGCAGGAGGAGTGAGGGGGGACCACCTGTGAGAAGCAGCCTGCAGGTGAGACAGCGCCACTGATGGGGTGGGGAGGGGCATCTCAGAGGCGCCCATGGGGCACCAGCCGGATCCACCCAGCAGGTGTGGAGTGGGCCACGACAGACCCCAGCAAACACGCTGCACTCCTGGCTCCGGTCTCTCCCTCCCGAAGACTGTGAGAGGAGGTGCCACTTTAAATCAAGTTCAGAATTTTGACAATCACCCAGGGCTGGGCACTTTAATACCTGAAATCGTGAATATCTTTGTGACTAAAGGAGCCCAAAAGAATTTTTGTTACCTGAGAGAGAAAAGAGAAGTTCAGGAACTTGCCCTAGATTTTATCTAAGCGGTGGAAAAAACGGGCCCCTCCAGGGTGCACAGGGACAGGCTGGAGGGCAAAGGAAATGGCGCCCTCTCTCTTAACAGCCACTCTCACTCTGTTGGGTGCACGTGTGCATTCAAAAACTTTCTCAGAAAAAAGTTGGCAGAAAAAGGAATGTACTACTTTCAAGACAGCAGCTCAAGCTATGAATGCACTAAGAACCTGTTTTGAGACGATCCCTGGCAGCTGGCAAAAGTGCAACCTTGAGAAGAGGCCGTGAAATATCCCCAACGAAACAGAAGGATTTCCAAACTGAAGAACGTTGCAGAAGGCATCAAGCGCGGTGCCTTCGCTTCACAGATGAGTAGTTTGGGGCCCAGCGGGTGAAGCGGCCCAGCTGGTTGGTGCAGAGCCCAGCCCAGCATCCAGATTCTCTGATTTGGGAAGAGCTACCTTTCCTCGAGGCCAGCTGGGATGTGCGAAGGAAACCAGGTCCCGTGGAGAAAGTTACCTGGACTTTCTAGCAAGGGAAAGCCTAAGTAAAGAAAACAGTTGGCCAAGAGGAAAGACAGTGGTGGCAATGCTGAGAGAGTGCCGAGGAAAGAGTGGAGAGTTTGTAGCCAAGACGAACATTTATAGTAAGCTCCCAACAGCCAAGGACTTGAAAGCCATCACCGTCCAGCTGGACACGAGAGCAAGAATTCAGTACATCCTGCCGGGCCCTGCTAGTTGTGCAGAGCACAAGGTCCTAGGCAAGCCAGTGTCGGGGTAAAACACTGCTTCCGTCGAAAGTAGAGTTAAGAATGGAATGGAAAAAGACTGAGGCCTGCATAGCGCACGCACGGGGATTTCAAAATGGATTCGAAAACACTCCACAATGCAATCTTGGGAGATCGCAACATAAAAAGGAAGGAATTCAATGCAGGTGAGCCTCAATAGACACCACGGCGTGCTTCTGAAATAGATGAAAATTGAACTGTTTTCCAAATACTTTGAGAGGGTTACCAATGACAGGAATCCTTTCGTCTGATCACTAATCATCATCTCGCTTACACAGTCAGGACAGCTGTGGAGTAGGTCGGCTTAGAGGGATTCTCAGGGCAGGTTCAGGCTAGTGTTCAGTCTGGCCTTGAATTGTGTTCTGCAGAGTCCCACAGCAGGCTCCGCAGGAGGCCAGGGTACCCCTTCTAGAAAACCCAAGTTTTCCAGCTGGACAGGCCTGACTCCTAGTCCTGTTTCTAGCCCTCGTTTAACTATGCAACCAGGGCAAGCTACACAACCTTTCTGAGTCTGTCATCTATACAACACAGGAGTGTTACCTTGTAGGGCTGTTATGAAGCCTAAACAAATAATGTGTGCAAAACACCTAGCACACAGTAGGCCCTCATCAAACGTTACTTCCCCACTCCTCGCTTGCCTGGGAGGGCAGTGATCAGCGCGGATTGTTCTTGCACTTGTTTGTAGGGACCTCCTTTGGGTAGGCAGGATGGTCACTGCGGTGTTTAGGCAGAAGAGAGGAGGAGATGAGCTTGGCGCCAGCCCTTGGCTGCGTCTCAAGCTGCGTTTGCTTATATTTCCTTTTTAATTACAGCTTTCTTAACCGAGCTGCCAGCGGTGCTTCTGTGAGCCTCAACTCAGGGGGGACTAGTTAACTTGCACAGATAATAGCAAGTGCTTACTGCAGCCTCTTCAAGAGTAGTTCACACCCACCCACCCACTTCAACACCTCAACAGAGTTTAACCCGTAGCCCACTGGCCTTTGGTGACTCCTGTTTTGGAGGTTGGGGTGGGTTTTAATTTCTGAGTTCTATCAAGCGTTCTAGGGAATATGGAATATTGGGGTGCAGGGACAATTTCACAAATGAATGGAGGAAGGGAGAATACTGAAATCCTGTTTGCTAGGGCACTACCGCCTACTGCTTTGCACAAAGGTGTGCTGCAGAAAAGATGGCAAACCCTCTATACAGGAAAAGCTGATTTGGGCTTCATTAATTTAGCATTTGTGATAATTGGACCAGAGGCAAGGGTGATATTTATCTCTGCACAAGCCATGAATACAAGGATTTAGTAAGTAATAACAGTATAAACAAGATTCTAGGGGTAATATTTATACTTTAAGAAAGCTAACATCTACTGAGTGTTTACCAGGCGCCAGACTCTGTGATCCATGTTTTATATGCGACATATTACTTGATTCTCATATTTATTACTCGATAAGGGATGTATTTTATGATCCTCACTTTACAAGCCTGAGCCACCAACAGGTGAAATAACATGTCCAGGTTCCCACGGCGAGTTCTGCCACTCACCATGGGAGGTCAGAGTGCCTGCCTTTACTGCTGTACTTTCCCTAAGGAAGCATGCTGCTTTGGGGGAGTTTTATAAGCTCGGACGGCAGCACTGGTCAAGGTTCCTAGATGCAATAGCAGAAGTGCCTAGAGCCAAAGTCAAGCTGGAGCAGAAGATGACCTCCAGAACATTAACCAGCCCATGACTCAATTCTGAGGGCCACAGAATCAGGTCTAAAGGCCACAAGGTGAGGTCCAAGTTACGACCATGACTGTGCCAGGCCTGGTGATCTCCCCAGCTAGCAACCCTGGCGAGGGGCAGGGCAACCAACACTCGGGCCCCTGCTGGCTCTGAGATGGATGTTCAGGGCCACACCTGTTCCTAGAGGGCAGATCATCACTTCATGCCCTTCCTAGTGGAGTCTCATGTGAGGGGTCTGATTGGTGCAGCCTGGGTCACATGGCTGCATCTTGGCCTCAAGGAGGATGGGACTTTAAAACTCCCAAACACAGGAAGCAGGTTCCTCAGTGCTGGACAGCTAAAATCATGATACATTAGGTTGGTGCAAAAGTAATTGCAGTTTTTGCCAGGAAAAGTGTACTGAAGACGCTGAAAATCACTTGCTTTTTGTAATGAGGTCTTCTGCTCTTTTAACTGGCAGGCACTTTGTGGCCTGGAGTCACCCTGGGGCTGCAGCAAGGTGAGGATGGGTGGTACCGATGGGAATTAGAGGCCATGAGTCCTAATCCTGGCTCCACCCTTCGCTAATCATGGGACCTTGGACAAGTCACTTGAGCTCCTCAACACTGGAATGGGAGCTGTGGGGCCAACTTCTGGTTCACAGGACTGGTTGTGAGAGCCACATGAAACAATGTTCCAACAACATCTGAACCCAGAATATTGCATGCAAACGTCGAGGGTCATGATCACCGCACACAAAGCACTTGTATTTCTTACTAGTTGAGATACACCTTTTCCCAGGGTTGGCTGGCTGATCTGCTTTCCTGTTATGTCTGAGCAGCTACTGCTATACTGAGAAGAGATCTCGGGTAAGAATGTAAACATCAGTTCCAAATGAGACTCTGCATATGGTGGAATAACAGCTCCCTGCACGTGAGGTCATGTGCAAGACCGCTGCCAGCAGAGGCCCACTCCAGACTTGGCGACGAGGCAAGTGGAAATACTCACCACGGATGTTTCAAAACATTCCAGGCCCTGGCCCAGCGCCCATGCCCGGGCCTCAGCTGAGTCCACTGCTCGTCTGCCGGCCAGGTCTGTCTTGTTCCCAACTAAAACACCTACTCAGAAGAAACAACCAAAATATGGCACTTCACTGTCACACTCTGGAAGGACAGCGGGCGAGATGAGAGCACTATTTTTGAGGGGTGTAAAGCATCCTCTGAGAGCTGCCTGACTCGAGGTGGTGAGCCCCCCCACAGGGAAAGCCGGGGGTCTCTCGTGATGGCCCCAAGGGCCACAGAGAGACAGGTGGGCTTCGCTTTTCATGCACAACTTCTGCTAGGTCTTTTTCTAGACCTCACGTGTATCTGTCTCCCTTGCCTCCTTAAAGGGCTGCAAACGCCTGAAGGCGAGGGCCAAATTTATGTGAGCCTTTGTAATAATTCTGAGCACACGGAGCAAACTGTAAACTGGTCATTAATAGTAATCTAAGGACTCGGCTCGGAGTCAGGGATTCAGAGGTAATTTAGTTCAGCTCCCAGCTGCATCAGCTGCAGCTAATTTTTGAGCCTGTCTCTGGAGATCACTTTCCCCGGTCTATAATGAGGAGAATTTGTTGATCTCACATAGGGACGAAAAATAAACTGATTTAAAGCATTCAGAAGTGACAACAGGCTTGAATGTTTACTTGTACCCCATATACAAGAGAAAATTAGGAACTCTTCCCTGGGGTTAGCTTTCTGGAATTAACAACTGATATTACAGCACCCTCCCGTTATTGAGTCTCCCCACAGCCCTGCCAGGTGCGTGTCCTCATTCCCGTTTCCTAGACTGGGAGAGGTGTGTGTGGTGACTCACCGAGGTTGGCATGGCTGCTAAGTGGCAGGGCCAGTGTACGCCTTAGGCCATCAAAGTCCAAGCCCAGGGCCCCTTCTCCACCCACAGCTACCTCTGCAATGCCCTTGTGCTCTTGAACCAAAGGACAGAGATGCCGCTGGGAAACATGGGTGTCTGCAGCCCGTACCTGGGAGAGAGATGCCTGGAGCCTGTGACCGAGCCTTCTCCAGCCACTTGCTGCAGTTGTTGAAGGATTCTTCATTGGTCACATCATAGACGAGACATAAGACATTGGGACTCTCCCACTGTGCAAGAGGGACAGGATGAGTATGGGTCAGTAACAGGAAAAGTGACTTCAAGGCTGGGAGACAATTTGGCCTTCCAAGGGAAAGGGTATGGGGAGCAGAGGGAAACAAGAAACGAAAACAGCCACACCCCCAGATGTCCAACAATTTCCCCAAAGGAATGAACGGAGGGCCACGTTCAGTGGCAGGAGGCAGGGCTGGGGCGGTGCCGCCAAGGACAAGAGCTCATGTCTGGGCCAGGCTCTGCTGGGCACTTCCGTGCCTCACTGTGAAACCTCCCAACTCGGTAGAGTGTCTGAATATTTCCACTTTGTAGCTGAAGAAACCAAATTCAGGGAGGGTAAGTGACTTGTCCAGGCCTGACAGGCTTTAAAAACAAAGACAACGATGACAGAGATGGGGGACGACTGAGTTCTTCTCTACCCAACAATCTGCTTTCACCTGCAGCTGGCCTCATTCATTCATTCTCCACTCATTCTTATCAAGAGCCCACCACCATGCAAGTTACATTTTTGTGCTTTGCAGCCCTGAAAGAAGATTCTTTCTTCATTAGCCAGCCTGGGAAGCTTGTTTGCTTGCATCTTCTTAATAAGGGCTGGCTTGTTAAAATGCAGAGGGCACTTTCTGCTTCTCTTGCCATCTCTGCATCAGCCTAATCCAAACCACACTGACAACTGGACAGGGCTCCATGACCCAATTAAGAGCCAAGGCTACACTCTCAGGGGCTGTCGCCTTCAGGGGCTGCTCAGAGTCCTGGGATGTCCTGCTGCCTGCCCCTGGATGTAGAATGGCCCTGTACAGGCTGTGGGTGCGCACCCTGGTGCTCGTGACTCTTGGCCATGCTCTGGTTTCTGGATCCCCCAACCTCGCACAATTAGGACCTGGTTTATTTCCGGGGTGCCAGTAACCTCCCAGGGTACAGAAGAGAATCCTTTTCCCTCCAGATTGGATTCCCTTTCAGATCCTTGGAAGGCGGGCCCAGATTCCACTCTGGAGGGCTCCTCCTCACCCTACAAGGCTGTGCTGGCTTCTGGCAGTGTCAGGGATGGGAGGACCGTGGACTAAACTGATGAACCCTTCACTCCACAGATTAACTCTTGAACTCCTGCTAGAACACATTGAGCTCTGTTACATGCACGCAGGAGACACTTCAGCGTGGTTTTAACTCAAGAAATCCTCCTTCTTCCAGGCTTCAGTGAGGGGGTCCTGGAGAGGCCTGGCATCAAGCTAAAGCCAGAGCGGGTGAACCAGGAGTCAGGGCCGGCTGGAGGGGAGGGTGTGAGCTGACGGGTGGCACATGGCCTGGATTTGCCCTAATACATCTTCCCTTCTGCTGGGCATGGCAGCCCCAGTGCCAGGCCATGCACACGGTAGGCAATTGGGGTGAACGTCGTGAACCGATGCATGAAGCCAACCCTGTATGAAATCACTATCATTAGATCTACTTCTCTTAGGCAACAAAAAAAAAGGGGCAGAAAACTGTTCCCATTAAAATGTGGCTGTTCTTGGAAAGGCAGGGGAGGGCTCTGGAGAACTCAAACCTTCTAATTAGCTCACTGGCCCAGATTAGTGAGACTGTTACCGTGGAAGGTACAGCAAGTGGATCCTGCGAGGCTGGTGGGACGGGGGTGGATGGGGCATGGTGAGGCCTGGGCAGCAGCAGGGGCATGTTCCAGAGCAAACCCCAGTGGAACGGCAGAAAGTGAGCCTCGTTATAGGCTGAGGCCTCTACAGCACTTCCCAGAGGGGGAGGAGGCAGTCTGTACTGTCTTGGGAGGTAGGGGACACCATCTGAAAGGACAGTGTTGCTCTAAAGAAGGGAGGCCTCACAGGGGGAGGGCTGCAAGGACCGAGCCGCAGGGCTCTTGGCCCATTGGATCCTGGGCACCCCAGAGCTGGGGCCCGGGCAGTCACACGCATCAGCCACTCCTTCTTGCCAAGTATCCATGAGTCCTGGGCTGGGAGGAATGCCCCTTAAAGAGTAATGCCATGGGAGCTTCCCAACAGCACAGTGCAGGGAAACTGCTGTGTGAGCACTGTCAGGGGTAAACGTTTTGGCAGGAGGTGGTGACAGTCAGGAAAAAGACCACGTGCTACTTGCCAATTTATCCAGCATTTCCGAAAACAGCTCCTTGCCAGCAGAGTCAAAAATGAAGAGTTCCTACAATCAGAAAAGCAAGAAAAGTCTCCACGTGGAAAAACCACAAGCTACGAGTCACTGGTATCACTCTCAACTCACACTGGACTTGTCTTAGGGGTGAAATACAGGCACCCACATCTTCACACATGCTCTGTCTTTTCTCCCAGGCACGAGAGAAGATGAAGGGGAAAGGAGCGAACTCCAGAGTCTTAGAGAGGCAGTACGACGGGTTCTCGCACCAACCAGCACTTTCTGTGTGGAGTCTCACCTCTTGTAACCCTGAGTGCAAAAATACCAGGAACAAGCTGACTTCCCACCTGGCAGAACAGAATGCTAAACAGGCCGGTGAGTGCTCTGGTTTCCAAAAGGTCATTCTGCACTTTGTTAACCAAATTGATTTTCAAATCTTAGAACAATTCTTTCTAAAGGAGGTCACTGAGTAGGCCTGGGGAAGGTGTTTAAAGTAGGACATTCTGTCACCCTTCTGGGATGGCTAAGGTGTGAGGCAGACAGAGGGTGCGGGATGACCCTTCCTGCCCTGTCCAAACCTTCCCCAGCCCATGTGAGAACCCCCAGGGCTGGTCCCCTAGGAAATCACCCCTCGGCTCCCCCACAAGCTCCCTCCTGGCACTGGGTATTTCCTGGCTGGCCTCTGATCCCTGGCATACACCGTCTAAACATCAGCACCATTGTCTGTTTTGCATATTGGTTACCTGGGAACTCACCTTTCTCTTCATCAGAAGTACTTATACTTTTTTTTTTTTTCTCGCAGACCTCTTTAGGAATCTGGTGAAAGCTACAAACCCTCTCTCTAGAAAAGCACACACAAACATAACGTCTTGCAATTCACTTTCAAGAGCCCCAGGTTCCCATAAAGAGACTCAAGAACCTTGATAGTAGAGAACAAGTTCCTCAAGGGCCAGGCCCATCTCCTAGTCCTCCTTCCTTCCTTCCTCCTCCACCTCCTCAGTCCCTCCCTTGAATGCTTCCCGATTCTATTCCGAAATGCTCAGCCAAGTCTAGACCACAGCCTTGCACTGCATCTCTCCTAGGGAGGATGGTGTGACCACAGAGACCCTGGGCCCAGCTGGGGGAGCCCTGAGTTCCCCTGGGTAAAGGCATCACTCACCACACTGTCTCCCGTGTCAGGAACTGGCACTGTCTTCACCACCAAATCCATTCCTGTTGTCTGCCGAGGAACACCAAGAATGTTAGCACTGAGGGCCCCCAAAGGGAGAGCATGTTACAGGAGGACACACAAGCACCCCGATCCCAGGAGGGCTATCTCCAGTGGAAGGGTTTGTTCTGGACTCATTCTTGTGAGAAGCAGCTCAGCATGCAGAAGTCAGAGGGGACCAACTAGTCCTCTCCACCTCCCTGCCCTGATGTGAGCTGCTACACGTGGTGGCCAAGTTGCTTGTGGCCATTCTGCTCTGTAGCCAACCTCTCACCCTGGGCTAGTGGAAAAAACGATCTCCACGTGGCCCTCTGAGCAGCCTTTCATCAGCTGTCTTAAGGCTTCCCTCAAGGAACTTCGAAGTCACTCATCATGGTGAACCGAGCACTTCTCTATAAGCTGTGGCCAGGTCTTGACACCCCAGCTCACCAGGGTGTAGCTTTTCTGGAAATGGGCTCCATCACTGCGGAAGATCTGTGCCAGGGCGGTCTTGCCCACTGCTGGGTCTCCTGTGAGATCAGAAAAGAAGAAAAAGAACGCCTTAGTTCTCATCTGACTTGAGAATCTCCCGCTGCAGAACATTAGTCTAGAAACCAAAAACTTCAATGAGTTTTGAGAGATGTACTTGCCTCTCACGGGAACTTGTTCTGAGGCCGCGGGCAGGGCACAGGTCCATGAGACTGATCTGCAAACCTCACAACAGCCAGAGCACACTTCTGCACGGCTAAGCCTTTTATCCACAGGAACTGACCCAGAAGGTAACAGAACTTACAGAGGGCTTTGGGGCCCTGGAAACGGAACTGACGCTCTTCCACTGAAACACGCCCTATGGGGAAAAGCTGTCACTTCCAAACTGGAATTTACTTTGAAGTCTTGAAGGTAAAGAAGTGTGACTGGCACTGACAGGCAGAGTCACCTGTCCAACTGACCCAACCTGGGTTGACAGCTTCCACCTGAATACTTTTTTGTGTGGGGCGTGGGGGGTGGAAGGGTCTCTGCATTTGTGGGAAGCAAGAAGTCTGAGGCTGTGTTCATCATTCTGAAATCTCTTTCCAAATGCTATGCTCCATCTCCATCGCAGAATACCTGTCTGTGACCCAAGGATTCTTCTTCCCAGGGGCCTCTCCACCAATTCTATCTGCAATAGCAGTCACCTCCTCCAAGCTCATCTCTCACCTACTGGCTTTATCTCCCTCTCCTCTGCTGGTCAACAGCCCCAGAAACTGGTCCCTCAGAACTAAAGGTTTATGTCGCAGTTTTCAGTCTGAGACCTGAGCCTTTCACAAGACTGCTGGGAGCCATTTAATCGAGCGCTCCTCCCGTGCCCGTCACGGGTGCTGGAAGCTCTCCCTGCCCATCTTTAATTCCCTTTGCCCTCCCCATTTTCCCTCTCATGGCTCTGCTGAGCCTCCTTTGATGCTGATTGTTTCCATTTGCAGCCTCTTTTCCTCCTGAGTCTTACGTGGACTTGCACTCCACCGTCCAGGTCCTGGCAGAACACGTGCTTTCTGCTTCTCATCCTCTGGATCCTTAGCAAAATCAGCACCGCCCTCCGCGGCTTCCAACTCACATCACTTGGTACCATCTCTTCACCTTTGCTTCCCATTTTACAGTCGGCTTCAACACTCCTTTCCTCGACTTCTCAACAGTCTGCCACTGTTCACTTTTCAGTTTTGACTTTTCCCACCTATAATTTTCCCTTGTAAGACAATTATTTCAATGCTTGTGGCATTTCATTTTATGTGAACTCCTCCAGGTTTGAGTGAGCTATTCAGGTCCTGCTTTTCTATTTGTCATCACTCCTTAGAAGGGAACCAATATGTGCTGAGCCCCCCTCATGGACCTGTTCACACAATCCCATTCATTCCTTCCCCGCCAAGGTATCATTCACCTTACCTGACAGATGAAGAGACTGAGGCTCAGAGAGGCTGGGTAACTCGCCCAGGATTCCAACCTCACGCTCTTCCCAGGCCCTGCTCCTCTCCTAGAGCTCAGGGACCACTTCTGACACTTTTCTTGTTTTGAGATGGAGTCTCTGTCACGCAGGCTGAAGTACAGTGGTGCGATCTAGGCTCGCTGCAACCTCCGCCTCCCGGGTTCAAGTGATTCTCCTGCCTTAGCCTCCCGAGTAGCTGGGACTACAGGTGCACGCCACCATGACCAGCTAATGTTTGTATTTTTAGTAGAGACGGGGTTTCACCAGGTTGGCCAGCCTGATCACAAACTCTTGACCTCAGGTGATCTGCCTGCCTCTGCCTGCCAAAGTGCTGGGATTACAGAAGTGAGTTCTGACCCATTTTTAATGCTGTCCCTCCAAGCCCTCCTCACCGCCTTCCATGACATCTGGGGCAACCACAGCCTAGACTGTCAAGGGGTACCCACCCATCTCGGAGCAAACAGAGCGCATCGCTTTCCTTCCTTGGGCCCTGACTGCACCCGCCCTCCCAACTTCAGCTCTGCTCCTGAATTCAGCTGGAAGTTGGCTCCTCCTGCTTATGAGATTCCTCACAGATTTGTTCTGGTTAATTTCATAAATCTTTCCTCTGACTGTCAGTCAGAGTCACCAACACTTACAGGAAACCGCCTGTGTTGGCTATGAGGGCTCAGAAGCACAGGGAGGTGAAATAACTGATAAACACATTTGCAGAGCAACAGGATGACAAGTGCAAATTCAAATAGCACAAACTGAGAAGCAAGGCGTCTGGGAAGCATCGAGAAAAGAAATGAATGAGAGGATTCACTGGGGAGGGAGGCTTCCCTAGGGGCAAGGGCTGGGCCTGGGGGCGACAGCAGGCAGGGCGCTGCAGGACAGAGAGGATGACGTCTGCAAGGGCACGATGCGAGATCACCTGTGACCTCACAGTTGCCAAGGCCGATGGCCTTTTCTTGGTTCTCATCCTCCTTGACTTCTCTGAAGGATGTGAGTCAGCCTGAAGTGACCCCTTCCTTCCCGAGTCCTGTCCCCGTGGCCTCAGTGACCCTGCCCTGGCCTGGTTCTCCTGCTATCTGCCTGCCCCTCTGCCCCCCGAGTGTGGGCATTCCCATGGGCCTGTCATCGGCGGCGCTCTGCTCCTAGTCCACTCCGTCCCACTGACTCTCATCACCTTGACAGAAGGCAGGATCTCCCTCCCAAGCTTTGTCTGTATATCCAAAAACCCGTGTGCGTTGCCACTAGAATGAAGGACCTTCCTCCAACCTCAGTCTGTCTACAGCCAAGCTCCGTCATGCCCTGGTCCTGAGTGGGCTGCCCCCATCACCCAAGCTTTCTGTTTGTGACGCCACCGTGTGTTTTCATCGTCCCCAGATTCAACGGGTCACCTCTGACTGCTCCTCCTCCTTCCTCCCATCTTCAGGCAGCCTCCCTTGCATTCCTCACATCCTTGGCTGAGTCTCAGCCCACCTCTGCTCGGCCCTCCCTGCTGACCCTGCCCCAGTTAGCTCAGCCTCACTGCTGGGTTTCTATCTCAGCCCCAAGCCCATCCTTCCACAGTGTGCAGGGGAGGGGCCTCTGCAGACACATTTCTCCCTTGCTAGGAGCTTCCTGTTAGGCTCTGCCAATGGGAGTTCTGGAAGAAGAAGGGAAGGCTGGAGTCGGGGGAGAGGACACTGCTCTTCCCGCCTGCTTCTCCTTTTTCTTAGTACTACCCTAGCAATGGCCTGCACCCCAGCAGCACTAACTGCTTCCTGTCTTGGGGTGTGTGTGTGTGTGTGTGTTTCCCTACTCCCAGACCAGCTTATTGTTGCCCCCAGAGGAAACAGCGCCAGCGGGCAGTGCCCTCTTCTCAGAGATCCACACCTTGGCTCCCAGGGCCCCTCCTCCCTGCTTCTGGGCTGAGAGCCCCACATGCTTCCCTCTGCTTCCCCAGCCCAAGAGGTGGTGCTCCTTCCTGCAGTTACTACCCGTGCTGCCTCAGTTTCCCCCTTTTCCTCTTCCAGTCCTCTAGCACCAGTGTCATTCACATCCTACTGAAATCCTCACTGTTGAAATGCCGAGTAGAGTTGCTGGTTTTTGCCTGGCCCCTGACTTATGTAGTCCTTGGTACCAGGAGTGGTCTTAAAACATGGACCCTCCAGGATGGTTTGGAACTGGTTTGGTGTGTCTTGCCCTGAACACAGGGCTGGGCTCCTCCCAGTGGGAAATGGGTCCTGGTGCTCTGTGGCATGTGCTGGGGTCACGCGGCAGGTGACTGAACTCCTGAGGTGCCGGGACCAGCCGGGCAGGGCCCCTTCCTCAGGGGTCCGGATCCCAGCTCCCTGGGTCTCTTCAAGCTTCTGACAACCCCGACCTCTGCCCGCCAATCTGTGTCAACTCAATGCTGCCTTCTTGCTTCCTCAGTTCTCCAACACTTGATGAAGCAATTCCATACATTAAAATTTCTCTGCTGAAATGACGACTGCGTTTTCTGTCTTCCCGACTGTGCCTTGAACACTTCTTTTCTCTTCTTTTTTCTCCCGGCTGTTATCCACCCAGTGGGTGGCATCAACAGGTGGACCCCCATGACACAGTGCCTCCATCTTGGCAAACCTTCACACAAACCCCACTGAGGATTCCTTCATAGCCTACCCATCTCCACGGTCAGCCCTAACCCACCTTCCCACTCTCTCCCTAGTAATCCCTTACCCCAAATCTGGGCTCTGCATTCCTGTTCGCCCAGTCCCTGGAAATTCCTCAAGGCCACCTCCTTCCAGGTACCCCTAGACCAAATTCAAATCCTGTCCATTCTCTGCAAGGAAAGCTCAAAGAATACCCTTCCTGCACAGCCTCTGAAGGCCATCTCTCCCTCCTTCATCTTTATCTGTGTGGCTAACGTGGATCGTTGCTCAGTGGTAGCGCACGATGTGATGTCAGAGCAACCCTCCCAGGAGGCTCTATTACCATCTCCATGTATATCAAGAGGCAGCATATTATGGTACTTAAGGGCACAGACTCTGGAGCCAGACTCCAGCTCCATCACTTTCTAGCTGTGTGAGTTTAAATCAGTTACTTAACCTCTCTGTGCCTCAGCTGCAACATGTATAACCTAAGATAATCATAGCACCTACCCCACAGAATTGTTATGAGGATTTAATGAGTTAATATGCACAGTGCCTGGCATATATAAGTACTATTTAAGTGTTTTTTTAAAAGTAAACAAAATACAGATCAATGTCAAATGTTGTTTTCTTTCTTCTCCAGAACCAGAACAAGTAGCAGCTGTGCCTGGAGGCATTTCCCCGCATCTGGCACACAAAGGGCATTCACTTTGTGTTCGCTGTGTTAGAACGTATCACACGCATCTTAGTTCTTCCTTGAGTGCAACTGACTCATGCTTGCAGGCCCACTGCACCTTGCACGGTGACTCTGACGTAGTAGGTGCTCAGCGAGTATCTGTTCAATGCATAAACACTTGAACTGAACGTCAGGTCCTTCAATGACCAGTTATGTGAGAGAAAAAACAGAGTAACTCAGTTTAAACAGTAGGGCTGTGGGTCATGGATGGAAAAATAAAACCAATGGCATGTGTGTGGTGGGGGTGGGTGGACAGGTGTCAGAGGGGGCTGATTTCTGGGCTGAGGTCTTTTGGTCCCTGGAAACTTCCAAGAGGAAATGCTGTGGAATCCCTGAAAAGAGGCTGCAGATTGAGGCGCAGGCTGGAGTTCAGGAGCCACTAACTAGGCAGTGGCTGCACTCAGGTGAAAGAACTACCCAAGGGAGTTGGGGGTAAAGAAGGGCACAAAGAGGCCGGGCATAGTGGGTGGCTCACGCCTGTAATCCCAGCACTTTGGGAGGCTGAGGCAGGTGGATCACTTGAGGTCTGGAGTTCAAGACCAGCCTGACCAACTGGTGAAACCCCATCTCTACTAAAAATACAAAAATTAACTGGGCATGGTGGTGTGTGCCTGTATCCCCGGCTGCTCGGGAGGCTGAGGCAGGGAATCATTTAAACCCAGGAGGTGGAAGTTGCAGTGAGCTAAGGTTGTGCACCACTGCACTCCAGCCTGGGAGACAGAGTGAAATTACGCCTCAAAAAAAAAGGTCCGGGCACAGTGACTCACGCCTGTAATCCCAGCACTTTGGGAGGCCGAGGCGGGCAGATCACCTGACGTCAGGAGTTCAAGACCAGCCTGGCTAACATGGTGAAACCCAGTCTCCACTAAAAAATACAAAAAATTAGCTGGGTATGGTGGTGGGCGCCTGTAATCCCAGCTACTTGGGAGGCTGAGGCAGAAGAATCGCTTGAACCCAGGAGGTGGAGGTTGCAGTGAGCTGAGATTGTGCCATTGCACTCCAGCTTAGGCAATGAGAGTGAAACTCCGTCTCAAAAAAAAAAAAAAAAAAAATAGAAGGACACAGAGGAGCACTACTTGAGGACAGAGTAGCTTGGGCTAAAGCCCTGGAAATCAGATTGGGACCCAGGGTCTGGATCATACAGCTCTGCCACTTCCAGCTCTGTGACCCATGGCAAATGTTCTCATTTTTCTGGGCCTCAGTTGCCTCATCTGTAAATGAGGATGGCAATAATGCCAATCCCACAGGGTTGCTATGAGGATTCAATGAGACCACCTGTATTGAGGGTCTAGCAGAGCTGATGCACCCAAAGCGCCAGTAAGTTAGCTCCATGATGAAAACCGAATTTAAAAAGAACCCAGAGAGAAGCCCATTTAAAAAAAAAAGTAACTTCAGAAAATAATGTTCCCACCTTATCCATAAGGAAATTAAAGCTCAAAAAGTGCTTCGTCCAAGATGACACAGCCAATAAGAGGAACAGGCAAAATTACTTTTGTTACACAACACTGCCTCCTCTGGTGCTCTGGAAACTGGAGATTCTCCTGAGAACCATTAATTTATTTTGCTCCAGTATGATTCAGTTACTACTGTCAGTCATCTTTCTGTGTGACCCTTTTATTTTCAAATTATAAAAGCCATTAAAAATATTATCATTTATTCTCAGTCTGGAAGAGGGGAATTTTTTAAAACAGGAATCTCTTTTTCTCTATATAATTTCTCACCACTTCTTTCCTGAGCTGGCCAGGGAAGCCTGGAAAGGTCACAGGTTTCAACAGAAACACGAGTTAAGAGTTTTGGAGTTGGCCAGATCTAGGGGCTGAAATCCTGCATAGGGCCTTCACTAGGGGTTGACCTTGGCTGACATCTCTCAGTGCCTCAGTAAGATCAGAACAATCCAGTACCTGGCCGGGCGCAGTGGCTCATGCCTGTAATCCCAGCACTTTGGGAGGCCGAGGTGGGTGGATCACCTGAAGTCAGGAGTTCGAGACCAGTCTGGCCAACATGGTGAAACCCCAGCTCTATTAAAAATACAAAAAAAAATTAGCCGGGCATGGTGGCTTGCGCCTGTAATCCCAGCTACTTGGGAGGCTGAGGCAGGGGAATTGCTTGAACCAGGGAGGTGGAGGTTGCAGTGAGCCGAGATTGCGCCACTGCCCTCCAGCCTGGGCAACAGCGTGAGACTCCGTCTCAAAAAAAAAAAAAAAAAAGAAAAACAATCCAGTACCTAGCCCAGTGTGCTATGGTGAGACGATTACATGAAATATGTGTGCTTCACATGCAGTAAGCACTCAGTAACATGCATATGTGTTTCGCAGTCTATAATCCAAAATATTGTTTTTCTAAATGTGCAGACTGATACAAGGGGTACACTACAAATGTGCATGCCACATATTCACATATTCATCCATTCTAAAAGTATTTATTGAGTACCTACTATGTTCCAGGCATTGTTCTGGGTGCTTGGGATGTATCAGTCAACAAAACAAAGATTCCTGCCTTTGGGAGACTCAACATTTATGCCCTTCTTGGAGTGGGGCAGCACAGTAACTTTGGGTCTTAAAGACAACACACAAGTGCCTTTTGCAAACTCTGGTCACTACACTCAGGTCACCGTTATCAGAGGGGGTGAGGTCGGGGGAAAAATCCCATAGTAAAGACTACCAAAGTCACTGATGCCTAACTTTGGGGTACAGTATATGTTTAGCTGAAGCACTCAAGGTTTGCTTAAGCTTTGTTTGTTTTGTTTTGTTTTAACAAGTCTGCTTCTCCAGAGTTGTAACTAGTGATTTTTTAACGAGTCACCTCAACTGGTGAAGGTGGTCTCAGAGTATGTGACAGGGAGCAGGGGGAAATCCACTGGAGCTGCGAAGTGCCCTGGAAGATCATTCTTCCACGCCTAACGTAATTTACTGTATCAGTAATTGCAGTAACTCGCCTTTGGGAGAGAGAAAGGAAAAGGTAGGCAATTTAGGTGAACAAAAGCTCTGGATGAATTATGAAGGCTCTGGACTCCAGAGACCACCGTATTCAAGCGCAAGTTTTCAGACTCACCTGCCAGGATGCATTTGGCTGCCAGCTTCACCATGGTAACCAACACTCCCGCGAGCCGTACCCAGAGGACAAGAGCGGCTGCTAGAGACGCGAGTGGGTGGGCTTCGGGCCCTGGGCTGGCCTGGGACGGGAAGGTGGGGAGGGGAGGGCTGATCTCAAGGGTCAGTGGCCGCGACGGGACTGGGGATGACCGAGCCCGGCCCTTCTGGGCCGGGGGCGGATATCGGGCGCTGGGGGCGGGTGGGCAGGGGAGGGCTCCAGGTGGGCCCGGCTCGAGGCCTGACACGGCAGTCTGAAAAGGTGCAAGCGAGCGGACACGGCCTGTGCTCCCCGCCCAGCCCCTCAGCACAGCCCTACCCAGAGGGTTCAAGGAAGGACGATCCGGCTCTCCTCCGATCACAAGTACCGGGCCGGATGCACTCTCCAAGCAACCATAGCCCACCTGCCCCGCCTCCTCCTCCTCCTCGCTGACCCTCGATTGGTTGCCGCCAAAAGCTCCCACCCTCAAGGTCTCACAAAAATCCAATGGGAGTAGAGAGCTGGGATAACAGCCTTTTCTTGAGATGCAATTCGTAGAGTTATCAGTTCTTCAAGTTCAGTCTGCTTGACGAGTGGTTGTAATTGACGTCAACCAGCTTTATATCCCGCCCCCGCTGCGCCTGAGAGTCCCGAGATAAAGAAGCCTCCACGTCAAGCAGTCAGAAGCGGTGACAAGAGAAGCTTTCTGATTGGTCAGAGTCTGGCTTGACCCATCTTCGGGAGGAATAGGGATTCGCCACTCCCGCTGTCCTTCTAGAAGTGGGTTCGCCTACAATGGGGCAGGTTGGGCTCTAGGCGGTCTGGAGCGGCGCCTGCGCAGTGGGCCAGGCCGCCGCTGTAGAGGTCGTTTTGACTTGCTCTGACTTCGCGCGGTTCTCGCGGCTTCCCCGGTTCCCGGGTTCTGCACAGCGCGGCTATTAAAGTGCATGGAGAAGTGCAGTCCTTGCCCCGCATCCCGCAGGGAAATCTCATTTTAAAAGCTCAAAGATGTAATGAGCGTTAAAATCTAAAATATGAAGGTGTTTTATTAAAGTGATGTTTGTGAACAAAGGGAGAACAAATACACTTTGATGGGGCTAAGCGGTGAGACTCGGAAACTTGAAGTCGTACTTTGCTCTTAGTCCATTTACTCTCTGCAAAAGGAGAATGCATCACTAACCTCGTTTGCCCGTCACCCAGGGAGGCTCTCTGTACGCGTTTACTGGGTTGGGGGTGCCTCTTGCACGTGGTTAGGGGGTCAGAGACCTAAATCCCTGGCCTGGACAAGTCACCTCATCCCTCAGCCTCAGGATGGGCCTAGGAGAACCCGCCTTGTGGGGTGGTTGTGGAGATGGAAGGAGAGAAACGTATGAGTGCCTGGGAGATAGTAGGTGCACACGTGATTGTGGGGTGGATGGGAGAGCGGAAGCTTATCTGGACAGATTTGGTTTATCATCACTGTCACTGGTTGGCCGAATGTACCCCTTGTTCTCACTTTCTCAGGGCCCCTGGGATTCTGATGGCTGATGCTGAAGGGAAGAGCAGCCCCTCAGCAAAGGTGCCTGTGCGAAAGTTCCACATTCCCTCCAGACACCTAGAACATTCCACCTCTCCGCCACTCTGCATCTCAGAGTGGCTGCCAGCCTTGTGTGGGGGAATAAACACACACACTCTATGAATGGCTGATGGTTTCAGCCCCGAATCCAGAGTAAATGCAAGTTGTCTGAGATGTTCTTTCCTTGGGATTCATTCCTGGCGCTACGGTAAAGGTCTGTTTCTCCTTCATTTCTCGTAACTGCTTTTCTTCTTTGGTGACATCACGTGAGTCTGTCTCAGACATCCAGGTCTGAGTGAGCAAAAAGCCTCTTTCTGGTCTTCTGCCTTCCTCTTGCCGGCTCCCCTCCAGGCCAACCTGTTCACCATGAGTGACCCTGTTAATCCCTTAAAGGACCCCATTTGGTGAGTCACCCTCCCGAGGCAGCTCCACGTAGCTAAGACACAGACACACATCAGGGCAGCCTCCGAAGCCTTGGTTCCTTCATTTTGCGAGGTGGGTAATGACAGAGCCGGAGCATAGCCATCTTGGACAAGCACTGCCATTTTAAAGTTCTCCTTGATCAAAAACGGCCTAAATTCAACCCAAAGGGCATCAGCCTAATGGCTAATGTCAGAATGACCATAAACCACAAGTGACATCTCCAATCAGAAACATTCCAACCCTAAGATAAACCCACCCCCCGACCAGAGACATGCAGCCCCAAGATAACCTCCCCTCTGGTCAGAGAGATGTCAGCCCCAACATAACCCACCCTCAGACCGGAGACATTCCAACCCCACAGTAAACTTCTCCTCCACACAGAAACATTCCAAGCCTGTGGTAAGCTCTCTTGCCCTAAACCCTTAAATACTCTTAGTCTGTAAGAGAGAGCACTCCTGACTGAAATTGGCCAGAAGCCCCTCTCAGGTTTATGCTCCAAAATAAACCTGTATTTAACTGTTGAGCCACTTTTCATGTTTCTTGCCTCTTTCTTTAACTCTTGCAGGTAATAATCACACCTCCCTCCCAGGGCTGTTCTCTGTTCCCCACCCACTGTCTCCCTTTTGTTGCTGCTACTCTGTGTGATTTTAGTCAGCATTATCATAAGAGCATTGTAGAACTTTCTAGAGAGATGGTAAACACTTGTATGGTGAATTCTGTCCCCCTTCACCTCATGGACCCAAGGGCCTTCTATACATTTCTGTGACTGAAGGTAAGCTGAATGAGAGTCACTAGGTTTAAGGTGGTCAGAGAATTTTGGAGCCATGGGGGCTCCTGAGCAATTCGAGTTATCCCATTTCTGAGCAGCTCTAATAGTCACAGCTGGCCTATGTTGACCACAGACTTAAGGCTGGCCTTGTTCTAAGTGATTTTAGGGATTAATTAGTTTAATTTCACATTTACATTTGATATTCACAATAACCATGTATCATCCCCATTTGATAGATGGGGAAACTAGGGCCCAAATGAGATTAAGTGAAACACCGAAGGTCACCTAGCTAGTGAGTAGCAGAGATGGATTTGAACTCCTTCTCACCCTTCCTAAAGAGCAAATACTTATTGAGTTCCTTGCCGTAATAACTTGCGTTGATTGAGCATTAGATGTGAGGCATCTGCTAAGCACTTCACATCCTCTCTCCTGTATGAAACCATGACCCTGGGAAGTGGAAACTCTCATTCATTTGAAGAAAGGAAAGAGCCACAGAGAGGCCAAGGTCATGCAACAAGTCAGCCAGATCCAGAACCAGCCTCAGATCTCTTGACTCTGGGGACCAATGTTTGTTTCTTTGTTTTCCCCCATTATCCAGCATAGTCTCTCCATTTTCATTAATTAGCTTTTCTTGAGTGCCTACCATCAGCCAGGCATGGTGTTGGTTGCTGGATCCACTGAAGGGTGGGGATGACAGAGCCCCAGGCTTTACCTCTGGGTGAGATATCACGGCAATGTGGGAATACGGGCCCAGGGTTGCACACTTTTCTAGAGGAGCCAGGAATCTGGATTTTTGTGTGAAATCCCCTGACCTGTTAGTGTTGGCAATGAACTTAAATTTAAAACACTGTAGCTGCAGTAGAAACCTCTGTTGACCGGTTCAACCTGGGGGCTGCTCATCTACGATCTTTGGTAAAGAAAGGAAGACCAACATGTGGACAAGTCACTGTGCCACAGGTGGATATGGGACTCCCTATGTACACCTCGAGGAGCATTCCTAACCCTGGGTGGATGGAGAGGGAGTCGGGAAGGATATTCTGAAAGGAGAGCCTTGTAGGAATTTGCGAGGTGGACACAGGGGAAGGCAAATGCTGGGTGGATGGGTCAGCACATGCAAAGGCTCAGAGCTCTGGGAGGGCAGCAGATGGAACACACGGTGGAATGGCAAGACCCAGAGTAGAACCCTTGTTTGAGGAATTAATTCAACAAATATTCTGTTGAGTGCTTGCTAAGCACTAGGACGTAGAGGTGGACAGAACCATCTAGCCCAGTGGAGCGGCAGATGATCAAGCAGTAATGATCTATGATTGCATGTAGTCAATGTTGAATAGGGGAGGATGTGGTGCAGAAAGAACAAATACCCTATGCTCTGATCCCTGGACTGGCACACCAGCATCACCTGGGGATTAGTAAGAAATGCATTTTCCCAGGCCCCACCCCTGACCAGCTGAACACTGGAGGTGGAGCCCACAATCTGCTTCCATAAGGCCTCCTGGTGACTCCGACACAAGCTCATGTTGAGAACTGCTTTTCTTAGCTAATGCCAGGACCCACCTTTATCTACTCTATTGGGTCATTTTACTGTTTTTCAAGCTCCTCGGGAACGTTCCCACCGCAGGGCCTTTGTACGCACTGTTCCCAATGAGGCTGTATGACTCTCCTTCATGATCTTCAGATCTCAGCTCAAACGTCATGCCTTCGGGGAGCCCTCCCAAACACACAATTTAAGCATCGCCCCCAATCTGTCAGTCTCAATATCCTTGACTTACTTTACTTTCTTCATAGCGTTCACTACTACCAGAGATTACACAGTCTGTCCCTCTGTATCCGTGGGGGATTGGTAACCATGGATATCAAAATCCAGGGCTACTCAAGTCCCCTATATAAAATGTTGTAATATTTGCACAAAACCTACACACGTCCTCCTGTATACTTTAAGTCACCTCTAGATTACTTTCAATAACTAATACAATGGAAATGCTATAGAAATATTGGTATACTGTATTTTATCTGTATTATTTTTATTGTTGTATTGTTATTTTTTTATTTTTGCAATGTGCAGTTAGTTGAATCCAGAGATGTGGAACCCGTGGATGCAGAGGGCCACCTATATTCCATATTTATTAGTTTATTTATATGGTATCTGTCGCCCTCCACTAGAAGGTAAGCTTCATGAGAACTGACACTTGGTCTCTTTTGTTCACCCAGTATCTAGGACAGTCCCCTGCATGGTGAGGCACCCCGTAAATACTTCTGAATGAATGAATGACTCTCATAGGGTTTACCCTTCCGGTTGTGTATTCATTCATTCAACAAGCACCAACTCTTGAATATCAGTTTTTGGGCAAGCAATGGGCTTACTACTGAGAGATGTGCAATGACCATTCAGATGGGGTAACCTCATCCTGGGTCCTCTCCCACCCCTAGCCTGCACCCCTAGCTACACCCATATGCTCTGTGGAAGAGGAAGTATTAACAGTGCTGCTTCCCAAAGCCAGGGACTAGACTGTTGGGGCTGATTACTGGGGCTTTGGATAAGAGGGGAGTGGAGGGGCAGCTGCTGACAAGTTGTTCCCAGAAATTGTTCAATCATCCTGGGGTTGAACACGTCCCGACATCCCTGAAGAGCAGCATGCGGATGAGCCACGGCTCCCTGCCAGGGACAGCAGCAACATTCCACGCACAGCGCCAGGGCTGATCATCCCCAATGCAGGGCCCAAGCCCCTTTGCCACTGTGTCTTGACAGCCAGGGGGTTCTCCTTCTGCCTGGGCCCCATCACAGCCCCTTCACTTATAGGGTGTAGTAGCAGAATTGTTGGATGGAATCCAACAATTGGGTAAATAGGAGATTTTAGGGGAAATTAAATAATTGAGAGTGATTCTGCATGAATTCTCAAGAAGAATATCTTTCATACATTAAAGCAGATTTGCTCAAATGCCCTCATGTCAGAGGCAATGCCAAAAAGAGAGTGCTAATAGATTTGTAGAAATTTTATGTATTTAGATCAGGGTTTCCCTACCTCGGCACTATTGACATTTGGGGGTGAAGGGTTCTTAGTTATGGGGGCTGTCCTGAGCAATATAGACAGCATCTCTGTCCTCTGCCCACTAGATGCCAGAGCAAGCTCCCTTGCTGAGACCACCAAAAATGTCCCTGGACATTGCCAAATGTCCCCTGGGGGGCAAAATCTTCCACGGATGAGAAGCACTGATTTAGATGTATGAACCCACTGAATAAAGGATATTGATTTTGCACTTGCAATCTACAAGGCCTTGGGCCTCGGGCTTCCTGGGCTTGAATCTTTGTCTTGCCACCTCTCCTCTGTGTCTCAGTCTCCTCCCACCTGCTCCAGTAGGCGCTTTGAGGCTCAGAAGAGTGGCCACATGCAAGGGGTCCCCAGCACGCCTGACACGTGGTAAGACTCAGTGAGCACCAGTTCTGATGAACAGCCACTGGGGTGGCCATGAGTCCCTGGAGGAGGATTTATAATGCGGTGGTACAGTTCTGTTTTACAATTTCCTATAACGCACTGTCACATCTGGTGCACTGCCTTCTCTCGGTAATGACCTTTGCTGTTCTTTTTTCCACTGTTCACGTGGGCCCGGTTGTTTATGTCTCCGCTGATGCAGTACTTGGCGGTGGCCATCTCAATAAAGGGCAGAGGAAATGGAACTGACTCACCTTCTGTGCGCCCGGAATGCAAAGTGGAGGCCTGAGCTGTGGCCTCGGCGGGGCACGGAGGCCGCGATGTCCTGATTCTGTCAGCAGGGGGCAGCAGCAGCCGGGAAATTGTCTGCTGCAGGAGGGCAGAAGGGCTGCCGCCTTTTGACTTATTTGCTGCCGCCTTTATTTAAAGTTGAGCAAATCATCCCTCCAGAGCCACCCGGAGGCCCCCTTTAACAGCCCGAGATACTCCATCTGCAGAAGCCAAGAGCCGCTTTTCCAGAACGTTCCACATTAGTGCATCTCTGTCCGTTTGCTCGCCAACTGAGAATGAGAGGCTGAGACATCACCTGGGCGCCTCTCTTTGAGGCGCGGTGCTTTGATTTACATCCCAGAGCCAAGGGCTCCTGAGTCCTGCTGGAGAGTTCTTCTCGCACCTGCCGCCTTCCCTCACTGCCCCCTTTCCACACTCCACGCATAAAGCCTGGGTGGTTGTGTTCAAGGAGGGCCAAGGAATTCTGGGTGCCCCAGGCTGAAGCTATGTCAAATTCTGCTAGAGGCAAAGTTGAGTGGGTCCCTGACACTCTACCCTTTTTTCCCTTCCCCGGCCCCCACTCCATATAACACCCTGCAGCTGCGCGACACAGTGCCCTTCCCAGAACAGCCCTCCCCCGGCAGCTGCACCCACCACACTCAGGGCCCATCTTAGTTGATTCCTCACCTCATGCACTTGGAAACTTAATAGCCCAGTTTCATTCTCGCATCATACCTTGGAATACGCCGTAGACATCCTGGGTTCCATTTTCCACCCAGCGGCCAGCATCGTCCTTTACAAATCTTAATTTCGGATAGGTAATCTCACCCCAAGATTCAACATTTAAAAGAGAAAATCTACAGAGAACGTCCCCTCCGTCCCGCCCCTGACAGTTGCTTATGTACCCTTTCGGAGAGATTTTACATATATCCCAGCACAAAAGCACATACACATTCTTTTTTTTTTTTTTCCTTGGGACAGAGTCTTGCTGTTTCCCAGGCTGGAGTGCAATGGCGCAATTTCGGCTTGCTGCAATCTCCGTCTCCAGGGTTCAAGCCATTCCCCTGCCTCAGCCTGCCGAGTAGCTGGGACTA
Source organism: Homo sapiens (assembly GCF_000001405.40). Taxonomy (NCBI): domain Eukaryota; kingdom Metazoa; phylum Chordata; class Mammalia; order Primates; family Hominidae; genus Homo; species Homo sapiens. The sequence continues at coordinate 36,783,231 of NC_000022.11, forward strand.
CAGGCGCCCGTCACCACGCGTGGCTAATCTTTTGTATTTTTAGTAGAAACGGGGTTTCACCGTGTTAGCCAGAATGGTCTCGATCTCCTGACTTCAGGTGATCCGCCAGCCTCGGCCTCCCAAAGTGGTGGGATTACAGGCGTGAGCCACCGTGCCTGGCCACATACACATTCTCATTCTTTCTCTCCTTCTTCCCTCTGCAAATAGAAGCCAGCACCCGCTCTTCCATCTAATGTACTTTGGAGTGGCCCCATGTCTGTACTCAAAGTGCGCTCGGTCTTTTGTGTGGCTGAGTCCCGTTCAGCTGTAAAAAGTGATACTTCTAAATATCACCGCATTTCCACTGAAAGTCCCCCAAAGGCTTCCCACTGTGCTTGGGGGAAAGTCCACCTTTCCCACGGAGCTGTCAGGACTGGTGAGTGGGCAGTGCCTCCTCCCTGGCAGTTTTCATCTGCCCAGCAGCTGGCTCTCTGCATCCTCACATTCGACTTGCCCGTTCTGCCTCAGGGCCTTAGCCCTGCTGCCCTCACTCATCTAGTTAACTCCTGTATGCCTTTCTCAGCTCAAACATCATTTGCCCTCCATGTCCTGCACACTCTGGACACCAGTGGCAGTCACCACCACTTGTAGTTACTGTCGGGGCACACCACTGCAGGCTCTAGAGCCAGACAGACCCCTGGGGTTCAAATCCCAGCTCCACCACTTCCTTGCTGTGTGACCTTGGGCAGCTGACTACACCTCTCTGTCCCTGTTTCCTCCCATGTGGAATGGGAGCATGAATAGATCCCTGGTCCTGGGGTTTTGTAGTGGGGATTAAATGACTGGCCAGAGCAAGCCTCTACTACCTGCTGGTGCAAATCTTTGAGGGAGGACCACGTCTCCTTGGCAGCCATCATATCCTGGTGCCTGGTTGATAGTAGGAGTTCTATAAATATGAGTCAAAATGACTGCACTTTAGTATGGGTCTCTGTAGGAATCATCGTCTTAACCCACTGGTTCTCAAACTGAGCCGCTCATGATACTAGTTAATAACATGATAATAACAGCCAGGCTGGGTGTGGTGGCTCACGCCTGTAATCCCAGCACTTTGGGAGGCCGAGGAAGGTGGATCACCTGAGGTCAGGAGTTCGAGACCAGCCTGACCAACATGGTGAAACCCCATCTCTACTAAAAGTACAAAAATTTGCCAGGTGTGGTGGCTCACACCTGTAGTCCCAGCTACTCAGGAGGCTGAGACAGGAGAACTGCTTGAACCCGGGAGGTGGAGGTAGCAGTGAGCCGAGATCACGCCACTGCACTCCAGCCTGGGCAACAGAACGAGACTTCATCTCAAGAAAAAAAGAACAGAAAGGAAAAGAAGAGAAAAGAAAAGAAAAAAGAAAAAAAATTAACAGCCTGCCGTCACTGACCCAGGCCAGGCTCTCTCCTTAGATTGTGTCATCTCACTCTCACAACCATCTGGACAGGCAGGTAGCATCATGATCTCAAGATCCCTATTTTACAAGTGAGGAAACTGAGGTACAAAGAGATTAAGTAGCTTGTCAGAGGTCACACAGTAGCTGAGCTAGGAGTCAAATTCAGGAAGCCTTCTAGGAAACAATAAACATTTGATAAACATTGTCTTAACCCAAAGATGCTTATCTCTGTGACTAGGGGAAGGGGCTCTGCCTAATTCTATTCTGGGCAGGTGTCCAGACCCAGCTCAAATGCCCCTCCTTCCTCCTACCTCCAACCCTGCATCCCATGTCCTGATTTACACCTGGACTCTCAGAGAGGAGAGGTGGCTGTTCTACCCAAACCAATCCATCTAATTAAGGATTTGCAGCCCCTGATATCCTCTCCAGCCAGTGCCCTGACTGTTATCCCCTCTGAGCCTTCTGCGTCTGCTGCCCTCTGCCACCCCTGCTGCCCACACAAGCTCGAGCCTTTCCCACATCTCCAAGGGAGACCATCCCTTATTCCTGCATTTCATCCTTGAAAGTATGGCTCCTCCAAGGACTTTCCAGGCCCTCTTTCATTCCCTCACCTCCACTTATTCCATGATATGCCACAAACCATCTTACCCCAAACCTGTGTCAAAGGTTACTCATGGCCAGGCGCGGTGGCTCACGCCTGTAATCCCAGCACTTTGGGAGGCCGAGATAGGCAGATCACTTGAGGTCAGGAGTTCGAGACCAGCCTTGGGCAACATGGTGAAACCCTATCTCCACTAAAAATACAAAAATCAACCGGGCATGGTGGTGCATGCCTGTAATCCCAGCTACTCGGGAGGCTGAGGCAGGAGAATCGCTTGACCCCAGGAGGTGGAGGTTGCAGTGAGCTGAGATTGCGCCACTGCACTCCTGCCTGGGTGACGGTGAGACTCTGTCTCAAAAAAAAAAAAGGAAAATCACTCATGGCTGGGTGGTCAAGTCCAATGCCAGGGTTTAGGATAGGGGACACTTTGCGCTTACTATGTGCTAGGCCTGGAATAAGCACTTAAGCCTCATAGTAACTGCATGAATTGGGGACTATCATTATGCCCATTCTACAGATGAGGAAACTGAAGCACAGGGACGTTTAGCAATATACTAGCCATGAACCCACCTTCTTAGCCACTGGCCACACTATCTCCAATGGAGCATCTCTGCAGAGGTGGCACTGCCTCTCCTTCCTCCCGGCATTCCTCTGCCTTGCTTGGAGACCCCTCTTCTCCTGCTTCTCTTCCTGCAGCTTCCCCCTCCACTGGGCTTTCTCCCATACCTTGGAGCCTTCTCTGCTCCCTGCTCCTGAAGTGACTCCCCTAGGGCTCATCCTGACCCTTCCTTCCCTCCAGGGGCTTCCTGGTGAGCACTTTCTCTGTCACTTGACAGACAGCAGTCCACTTGATATGGCTGGGCTTGGGACAATAATACCTGTAACCTCCCTCTTCTTTAAAGAGTTACCACGAGGGTCAAAACTGACACCACGTAGTGCCTAAGCGTGCTTTGCAAACTGTGAAATGCTGGACAAAGGTAACGGCTGTCACTGTTACCATGATCAGCTCCGTTCAGAGGTTGGTTCCCTCATCCTCTCCTCCAAATATTTTTGGCACAAGTCGTCAGCACCCATATGCGGCATCTGGGAGCTGAAATTCAGAAGCCGCCTAACGGGTTGTGAAAATATCCGTTAGATGTTCAGGCTATAAAGCTGGGGGGCCTTTCTCCAATGGAACTGCAGGGGAAACGCAGGCTGGCTGAGAGAAGAGCATTATCCGACTGGGCCAGTGGGGCAGGACTCCAGGCTGCCTCCCGAGCCTCTTAGAGCTGTAAACAGGCGTGATTGTTTTGGCAGGAGGCATCCCACTGTCAAAGAGGAAGCTGATGAGATGCAAAGCAACCCAGACCCTTTCAACTTCTCCCACCCGAGGGTGGTGTGCCCAGTGATGCGAGCACCCGGTAGAGGGACAGGAGGGCAGACATTTAAGCCAACAGATCTGAGTTTAAAGTCTGAGCAAAAAACATGTCTGTGGCCTACTCTCAGTATCCCCATCTGGCTTGCTGGGAAAGATTTTGAACATCCTACCGACTTAATCTTTGTTGGGAAAACACAGTTTTGGGATATGCCGAGCTGGAGAGTGGGCTCTGAATTGTGTAATATACTCCCCGACTGCTGGACTTCACCTGGTCTGGTAACTCTTACCTGGGCTCCGTCCATTTTCCAGAGGAGGAAACTGAGGCTCAGCTAAATGCATCAAATGACACGTGGACACGAAATAGCTAATAAGAAGAAGGACTGAGACGAGAATTGAAATCTTCTCTCTCCAAACCTGAACCCCCTGGCTTACTGGCTGGGTGATCTTGGGAGAGCTCGTGAACTTCTCTGAGCCTCTGTTTCCTTATCTGTAAAGTGGGGCTGATGATGAGACCTACCTCTGAGAGCTGTGAGGGTTACATGGGATTCTTACATGGAAACCACTTGGCCCAGCCGAAGAGTAAACACTGGGTGAATGCCCCCGGTTATTACTACTTTAGGGCACACAGTTGTTAAATAAATAGAGGAGTGGATGAATAAATAAATGCACTCTTTTCTCTACCAGGGACTGGAAGCTTTCTTTGCAAGAAGCCCATGAAGTGTAGGCAATTTCCTTTTGATGGCAATAAAGTTGGGCCTCGCTTCCTCTGTGATTCACATTCTTGAAGATCTTTCCAAATGCAGAGAAAGGGCTGGCCCCAGATCATCCGACATGGTCTCTCTGGTGATGCTGACAAGGTGACGTTTTGGATGATTATGCAAGAAACCTTCCAAGAACTGACCCTCTGCTCCAGCAAAAAGCTTTGAATTTTGCAAAACTGCCGGAGCATAGCAATTTCTCATCTGGCGCTGGCTCACCCAGTGAGCTTTGCAGGCATCCCAGAATTGTCTCTGAAACACTCTGCCCATTGCCCTCTCTTCGCCCCTCGAGAGTTAACAGATGTGAGCGCTACAGGAGAGGGTGACAAGTGGCCCAAGACCTGGAGAAGCTGGGGTGGTAAGAGCAGGGCGCAGGCTTCTTGCTGGAGTGCATCCCAGGCGGCCCCGCAGGCTCTCTGGTGAATACAGAGAGCATCAGAGCACACTCTGTTTCCACAGCACGATGTTCAAGGGACTGGTCCTGCAGCGACTGCTTCCCTGCCACATTTGCTCTGGGCTGTGGAGAGCTGGCTGCTTTCTAGTTTGTGTTCCTGAATACTGGACACGCATCGGGACTGTGGTGCAAATAACCCCACAGGATAGACCAGTTTAGCTCGGGCTCCAGGATTAGATAAACCACATACAATCCCCAACTCCAACACTGGCTTGGTGGGGCTTCCCCAGGAGCCAATCCACAGCAAGGACTAGAGTACAAGTGGTTTATTGTAAAGTGATTCCCAAAGCACCTCCAGGGGAGTGGACAAGTGAGAGAGGGAGAAGGAGGAAGGCAGAAGGGGGAACTAATGAGCCCACCACCACCACCTGTGGTCTACAGAGGCTCAGGCCTGCCGGGCTCTGGGAGACTGCCTGGAGCTGACCTCAGATCATCCTGGCAGAGGGGAGGAAGCTGGTGTGTTCTGATCCAGCTCACTGTTCTGTGTTGGTTGAGGGCTGCACAGGGCACTGCTCTCGGGCGCTTCTGCCTCGGCCTGTGCAGGGGCTGAGTGGGCTCCCACAGCCCTTGGACAAGAGGCTTAGGTCTTCAGGGCAAGGGGGATGGGGGTGCAGGCCCCCCGGTATCTGGGATATGAGATCCATCACCCAGGCTTGGATGGAAAGTATACTCAACGGAGGAAGTGCTCAAGGCAGGAGGCGATTACTATTACAGTTTGCTACTCATGTGTCTGGAAGGGCCCTTCCTTCCTTGCTTCCTTCCTTTTTTCTTTCTTTCTTTCTTTCTTTCTTTCTTTCTTTCTTTCTTTCTTTCTTTCTTTCTTTCTTTCTTTCTTTTTTTCTTTCTCTTTCTTTTTCTTTCTCTTTCTTTGTTTTCTTTCTTTGTTTGTTTCTTTTTTTTTTTTTTTGAGATGGAGTTTTGCTCTTGTTGCCCAGGCTGGAGTGCAATGGTGTGATCTCGGCTTACCACAACCTCCGCCTCCCAGGTTCAAGTGATTCTCCTGTCTCAGCCTCCCGAGTAGCTGGGATTACAGGTGCATGCCACCATGCCCGGCTAATTTTTGTATTTTTAGTAGAGACAGGGTTTCACCATGTTGGCCAGGCTGGTCTCGAACTTCCGACCTCAGGTGATCTGCCTGCCTCAGCCTCCCAAAGTGCTGGGATTACAGGTGTGAGTCACTGCGCCCAGCTGGCCCTTTTCTTTCTTAACGTGAGAACGGTCTGTCTTTCAAATGCCCAACTTAGATGCCACATCTTCTATGGTACCTTTTAATGTTTTATTTTTTTAGAGACACGGGATCTCTCAACGTTGCCCAGGCTGGACTCAAACTCCTGGGCTCATGCAATCCTCCCACCTCTGCCTCTGGAGGAGCTGAGACTACAGGTGGACGCCAACGCACCCTGTATGGCACCTTTTTCTGCCTGTATTGGTTCCTCAGGGCTGTTGTAACAAGTGACTATAAACTAGGTGACTTAAAAGGACAGAGATTTATTCTTCCATGTTTCTGGAGGCCAGCAGTCTGAGATCCAGGTGTCAGCAGTCCCCCTGTGAAGACTCTGGGAACACTCTCTCCTTGCCTCTTCCGGCTGCTGGTCCCTGGCTGTGGCAGCATCACCCCAGCCTCCGTCTTCACCTCTGCCTTCACTGGGCTTTCTTCCCTGGGCCTCTGCCCGTCTTCTCCTTTTCTGTCTCTTTTAAGGACACCTGTCATTGGATTTATGGCCCACCCTTATCAAGGAGGATCTCATCTCGTGATCCTTACCTTAATTACATCTTCAAAGACCCTTATTCTGAATAAGGGCACAATCCGAGGCTCTGGAGGACCTAGCTTGTGGGGAGTGCTATTCAACCCACTACACTACGTGTTGTAAATTTTCTTTGATTTCTACAGCATTAGTTAGAATTACGTCTGTTTCAGGTACAGACTGCAGCAACTTAACCAAACAGGGGCCTGTTTTCCTCCTGTCACAGGCACTCTTTTTTGTTGTTGTTGTTTTTGTTTGTTTTTTGAAATGGAGTCTTGCTCTGTCGCCCAGGCTGGGGTGCAGTGGCATGATCTCGGCTCACTGCAGCCTCCGCCTCCTGGGTTCAAGTGATTCTCCTGCCTCAGCCTCCTGAGTAGCTGGGATTACTGGTGTGCACCATCACACCTGGCTAATTTTTGTATTTTTAGTAGAGGTGGGGTTTCACCATGTTGGCCAGGCTGGTCTCGAACTCCTGGGCTCAAGTGATCTTCCCACCTCGGCCTCCCAAAGTGCTGGGATTATGGGCACGAGCCACCCTTAGGCTGGCAGCTTGCAGGCCAGTGGGAGGGCTTTAAAGAGCCATCAGGGACCCAGGCTTCTCCTGGATTTCTAATGCCGCTGTCCTCAGCTACGTCTTTAGTTTCTGTGGTTATAGGAAGACAGCTCCGTCTCTGGGCACCAAGTCTGCATCCTAGACATGGCAAAGGAGGAAGACCAAAGCCAGAGGCTTCCGTGCAAACCCCACCCAGGGCTGCCTGTGGACATCCATAGACCAAAACCGTGTCCCCTGGTCAGGGGAGTATTTTCCACAGGGCACATTGCTGCCCTGCCCCTAAATGGGTTTCTGATGGAAAGAAAGAGGTGAGAATTAGTGGTGAGTAGGCAACAGTGATGATCAGTGGGTAATAATATGTAATGTCACCTATAAAAAATTAAACTCCACAGCATAAGCATGTCCCCAGGTCACTACAGAAGAGCCTCAGTATTTTAAAGGACACGTGATAGTATGTTTGTGGATGCCCATCATGTTTCTCAAGCTCTGCCCTTTCTGCATTGCCGCAGCTGCCTGTCTGCACGCCACCGCCTGTCTGCACGCCGCCGCCTGGCCCTGAGGGAGGCTGGGGCCAGGTGTGGGCACTAAGGTATGCCCAGAGCAGCATCAGAAGCAGGAGATGGTGGTGATGCCACCACTATGAGACAGCATCAGAGCCAGGAGGTGGCAGGCACACTGCAGGGACAGCCACTCAGGCAGAGCAGCCCACAGGAGGGACGTGAACTGCCAACTCATCTCTGAACCCAGTGACATCAGCACATCAGAGCCTTAACCCTGCTGGCGTTCTGAACTCTGGGTCAGGTCAGGAAGCAGAAAATAAGAACAACGGCATGGAAACTTCTCTGCCTCTTTAGGAAGTGGCACTTTCTTTGGATCCATCCGTTGACACCTGTGCTCAGTAGATAATCTGGTGAATGATTGATTCAACAAGGTAACAAGGAGCCAGCAGGAGGCTAAATGAGTTTTTAATGACTGTAAGTCATCTCAGATCACAGCGTCTCCAAGTTGGGAGGAACATGTTGTCTAGGGGAACTCTCCTGCTGATGCATGAGTTCTTTCAACAAGTTCCCTCATTTCCATTTGCATGCCTCTCATGACGGGATGCTCACTGCCTTGCAGAATGGCCGGTCTTACTGCTCTACGGCTCCAAGGGTAGACAGGGCTTCCTTAGGTTTAGTCAAGAGCTGTTGCCTTCTCAATCCCACTAGTTGTTCCTGATTTTGTGCCCACAGAATCACACAAAATAAACCCAGTTTCCCTTCAGACTCCACTCCCTGCCCCTAATTATAGAAAGGCTTAATTTTCTCCATTTGTAGGTGCTTTGCTTTCCTTTTTGCTTTCTGTGTTTATTTACTCAACGAAGATGTATTAAGCATCCCCTTTGTGCCAGGGAGCGTATGAAGTGCTGGGGTTACAACGGTGAAGGATTCCAGCACGTAGGAAACCTAAGAACGAAACAGGGAAGGTGGGTGAGGACAACGATAATTGCAGTGAAATTCACATGGCAAGCAACCAACCATTTTAAAGTGTACAAGTCAGTGACGTTCACAGTCATGTGTAACCACCACCTCTGGCTTCAAAACTTGTCACCACCCCAGAATACCTTGTACCTATTAAGTAATCACTCCCCTTTCTCTGCTTCCCCATCTCCTGGAAACCACTAATGTGTCTTCTCTCTCTACGGACTAACCCATTCAGGATATTTCATATATGTATTTATTTACTTATTTTATTTTATTTTTTTGAAGACAAAGTCTCACTCTGTCAGCAGCTGGAGTGCAATGGCACAATCTCAGCTCACTGCAACCTCCACCTCCCGGGTTCAAGTGATTCTCCTGCCTCAGCCTCCCTAGTAGCTGGGACTACAGGCATGAGCCACCACGCCCAGCTAATTTTTGTATTTTTAGTAGAGACGGGTTTCATCATGTTGGCCAGGCTGGTCTCGAACTCCTGGCCTCAAGTGATCTGCCCGCCTCAGCCTCCCAAAGTGCTGGGATTACAGGTGTGAGCCACCGTGCCCGGCCCTGGGTATTTCATATAAAAGGAATCATCTAATATGTCATCTTTTGTGACTGGCTTCTTTCAGGTAGCATAATGTTTTCAAGGTTTACCTAAGTTGTAGCACGTATCAATGCTTTATTCTTTTTTATGGTTAAAAATATTCCATTGTACGGTATGTCACATTTTGACTATCCATTCATCCATTGATGGACGTGTGGGTTGCTTTCACCTTTTGGCTATTATGAATAATACTTGCTATAAATATTTGTGTACAAGCCCAGGCCCAGTGGCTCATGTCTGTAATCCCAGCGATTTGGGAGGCCAAGGCTGGCGGATCACCTGAAGTCAGGAGTTCGAGACCAGCCTGGCTAACATCATGAAACCCCGTCTCTACTAAAAATACAAAAATCAGCTGGGCGTGGTGGTGCACGCCTGTAAACCCAGCTGCTCGGGAGGCTGAGGCAGGAGAATCACTTGAACCCGGGAGGCAGAGGTTGCAGTGAGCTGAGATCGCACCACTGCACTCCAGCATGGGTGACAGAGCAAGACTCTGTCTCAAAAGACAAAAACAAACCAAAAATATTTGTATCTAAGTCTTTGTGTGTATGTGTTTTCATTTCTCTTGGATATACACCTAGGAATGGAATTTCTGGAACATATAGAAACTCATGTCCCATAAACTTGTGTCCTAAATTTTTTTTTTTTTTTTTTGAGACACAGTCTCGCTCTGTCACCCAGGCTGGAGTGCAGTGGCGTGATCTCAGCTCATTGCAACCTCCACCTCCCGGGTTCGAGTGATTCTCCTGCTTCAGTCTCCTGAGTAGCTGGGACTAGAGGTGTGTGCCACCACGCCCCGCTAATTTTTTGTATTTTTAGTAGAGATGGAGTTTCACCGTGTTAGCCAGGATGGTCTCGATCTCCTGACCTCGTGATCTGCCCGCCTTGGCCTCCCAAAGTGCTGGGATTACAGGCGTGAGCCACTGCACCCAGCCTTTTAACTTTTTAAGGAATGGCCAAACTGTTTTTCACAGTGACTGCACCACTTTATGCTGTCACCAGCAATATATGCGGGTACCAATTTCTCAGCATCCTTGCCAATGCTTCTTATTTTCATTTTTTTGGATGACAGCCACCGTGGAGGGTGTACAGGCACCTCATTGTGATTTTGCTGTGCATCTCCTTAATTACAAATGGTGCTGAGCATCTTCTCATATGCCTGGTGGCCATTTGTATATCATCTTTGGAGAAATGTCTCTTCAAGTCCTTTGCCCACTTTTTAATTGGGTTGCATGATGGTTAGTTTTATGTGTCAATTTGACTGGGCCACAGGGTGCCCAGATGTTTGATGAGACATTCTCCCAGGTGATTCTGTGAGGGTGTTTGGGGATGAGTTCATATTTAAAATAACTGAATAAAGTGATTGCCCTCCTTAATGTGGGCGAGACTCGTCCAATTAGTTCAAGGCCTGAATGGAACAAAAAGGCTGACCCTCCTCCAAGGAAAAGAAAATTTCTTTCACTGCCTTCAGCCTGGGGCATTGGCTTTTTTCCTGCCTCTGGACTCAGAAGCTATACCATCAGCTCTCCTGGGCCTCCAGCTTGCCGATTCATCCTGCAGATGCTGGGGCTTGTTCATCTCCCTAATTGTGTAAGCCAGTTCCTTACAACAAATCTTTTTTTTTTTTTTTTAATAGATGGAATTTTGCTCTTGTTGCCCAGGCTGGAATGCAATGGTGTGGTCTCAGCTCACTGCAACCTCCGCCTCCTGGGTTCAAGTGATTCTCCTGCCTCAGCCTCCCAAGTAGCTGGGATTACAGGCATGTGCCACCATGCCCAGCTAATTTTGTATTTTTAGTAGAGACAGGGTTTCTCCATGTTGGTCAGGCTGGCCTCAAATTCCCGACCTCAGGTGATCCGCTCGCCTCAGCCTCCCAAAGTGCTGGGATTACAGGCGTGAGCCACTGCGCCTGGCCACAAATCTTTTTATGCACTATATACATGTGTATACACACACACACACACACGTACATATACAAGTTGAGAAATCTCAGATCTGAAAATCCGAAATCCAAAATGCTCCAAAATCTGAAAATTTTTGAGAGTCATTGTAATGCTCAAAGGAAGTGCTCTTTGGAGCAGTTTGAATTTTGAATTTTTGGATTTGGAGTGCTCAGACAGAAAGTGTAACGCAAATACTTCACAATCCAAAATATTTCTGCTCCCAAGCATTTTGGATAAGGGATACTCAACCTGTGCGCCCACACACACAAATGCACACACACACACACACACACAGCCTATTCTGTTTCTCTGGAGGACTCTAACACAGGTTGTTTGTCTTTGGTTGTTGAGGTGCAGGCGTTCTTTACATATTCAGGATACTAAATCCTTACCAGATGTAGGATTCACAACTATTTCGGTCCCTTTGAGAAGACAGATGCTTAGAGAAGCAATGAGTATGAAGTGGAGTTGGAAGCACAGGGCAGGAGTCCCTCAACACAGATGCTCCCGAGAGCAGGCTTAGCTGGCTGATGTATGGTGGAGCCCATTGCACCTGGCACTGAATAGGTTCTCAATAAAGAGTTGTCAGTAAAAATGAGCAACTACATTTGGATGTTGGGTGGGAATAAACAAGGCTTCCCAGAAGGAGCCTCACTGAAGCTGAAGCCTAAGGCTGGTGTAGCAATGAGCCAGGCAGAGGAGAAACAGTGATGTGGCCGAAGGAATAGCTTATGTGAGGGCCCAGAGGAGAGGGAGGACATGGCAGTTTTGAGGAATGGCACATTTTATGTAGTTGAAGCAGAGAATGCAGGGAATGAATGTGGGGTTGCAGGGCTAAGGTGGGAGGTGAGAGAGGAGAACGCAGGAGAGTCGCGAGAAAGGGGAAACGGTGAAGTTGGAAGGGATCAGACATGAAAGGTTTTGTGGGCTGTAAAGGAGTTTGGGGCCCTCTGCGAAAGGGGGAGGAAGAACAAAGCTATGAAGTGTTCATGAATGAATGGCAGCCATAAGAAGGCCCAGTGCTCTCAGGCCCCCGGGAGGATGCAGGGGAAGCTGACTCTTCCAGGCTCCTTGCAATTTAAATTCTGGCTCTGTTCTCCATCAGGCAAAAAGTGGGGTCAAACAAGTGGATTCAGGAGTCTCAGCAAAGCTACTTAAGCTGCATTTCCTCATCTGTATGACAGGGGCTGTGAGGAGCCTGCAGGCTCCAGTGACAAACTAGAGGATCGTGTCCTAAGCCCCCAAATTTGACCCTCACAAGATCCCAAATAAAGGACACAGAGAGGACACATTCCTGCGAATGACTTCCCTGAGGAGGGAACAGAGAGGGGAAACTGAAGGAGGGTAGGGCAACCGAGAGTGGAAATTGACGGGGGGCCTTTTGCGGCACAGTTCAGGGTCCAGGCGGGCTGCCCAGGCCTTCCTCCTCTGTCGGCACTGAGGCAGGAAGATAAGAAGGGAGCCAGGAACACCAGGCCTCTGTCCCATTTGCCGAACCACCTCTTGTAAACAGTCTTCTGGGTCTAAATAAACCAACATCAGATTCACCCAATTTGAATCTTCCCAGACTAATGCGTCTGCGTGGCCGCAGATGCCTTGGGGACGGGGAATCTTTAATGGGAAAGCAAAGAGGGAAAGAGGCTGAATGCTTTGAGAAGTGATTTCTTCGATGAAGTCATCCTCTAAAGTGGTTAGCTGTGTCCGGCACAAGTAGGCACTCAGAAATCATTTGTCAAGTCAGTGAATACATGTTTGCAATTTTCACTTTTATTGGCTGTGTGGTTTGGGCAAGGTGCCTAACCTCTCTGAACCTTCCTGTATAAAATAGAGAGACATCTCTTCCGTGGATGGCTGCAGTGTGGATTAAGACATGGTGCCTTAGTCCATTTGGACTGCTGTAAAAAAATACCTTAGACTGGGTAATTTAAAAACAACAGAAATTCATTGCTCACAGTTCTGGAGGCTGGGAAGTCCAAGATCAAGGTGCTAGAAGACTTGGTGTCTGGTGAGGGCTCTCTGCTTCATAGATGGTGTCCTGTTGCTATAGCCTCACATGGTGAAAGGGCAAAGGGCTAGGAACCTCCCTTAGGGCTCTTGTATGAGGGCATTCATCCCATCCATGAGGGCTTCTCTCCCATGTCCCATCACCTCCCAAAGGCCCCACCTTCTAATACCATCACCTTGAGAGTTGGGTTTTGACTGTGGATTTTGGAGGGACACAAACCTTCGGACCATAGCAGATGGTATATGCAAAGTGTCCAGCAAGAAGGAGGGAGATGCAGATTTGGCATCCAGCTCTGTCCAGCCGCAGAGCTATAGCCCTGCACAGTCATATTATCCAGGGTCAGGTTAAGAGCAGAGGGCAGCTCAATCCTGACTTTCCCACCCATCCTTCCTCTCCGTGGAGTCTTTGTTCTGATGCTCCTGGCTCTTCCTTCCCCGCTGAGTCCCCTGTCTTCTAGCTCTGGGACATCAACGCATCCAGGGAGCCAGTGATCATTCATCACTCGATGAAGCTGGGCTGCTCCCAGCTCTTATTAAAACCACTCAGAGACAGATTGATTTGGGGCCCTTCCTCCAGCCTGAGCTTTCTCCTTCCTGCTCCCAGCCTCTAAGACAAAAAGGCATAGAGATAAACAGCAAGCCTCCTATGATCATGACAATGAAGAGAAGGAGCTGCATTCAGCTGATGAGAAAACCCGGAGGCGGCTGGTGGGGCAGGTGTCAGGGCAGTGGGTGGCTGGAGACTGAGGAACTGGAGCCCAGTGATACCGGGCCACAGAGGGGTATGCTGGGCAGGGAGGACTTCCTGTCATGCCTGCATTCCTTACTGAGTTAGCAGGTCCCTATGGATGGCACTATGGCAGGGGTGGGGCAGCAGGGGCCTGGGGCCAAGCCCCGTTCTGCTCTGCACTGCTATGTGGCCTTGAGTGAGTCACAAGCCATGTTGGGCCTTTATGGCCACATGTGCATCAGGATGGGTGAAGCCCAGCATCTTTTTGGTGCCAGGTTCTGGGATTTAGCAGGACCCCTGCAGACATGCCCTACTTTCAGGCATTGCATGGTCTTTGGGAGGGGTGGACAGGAATCAGATTGTCACATATTGGTTTTTTTTTTTTCATTTCACTCACAAGACTGGTGCAGGGGCTCTAACCTCAGCTTGGGGTGACGCTCCAGAGTAGATTCCTGAGGATGAAGAGGACTGAGCCAGGGAAAAGGGGGTTGGGGAGGACAGGGAGGCAGAATGGTCCAGGCTGAGGTAGAAGGGCTGGGATAGAGGCTGGGTCATGCCCGTAGGCAGGAACTCTGTGTTTGGCTCTGGGATTTGATTCTATAGATTGGGCAGTCGCTGGAAAGATTTAAGCAGAACAATGTGACTTGATCCATGTTTTGGAAAGAGCCCTTGGGCTCTGGGTGGAGAGGGGAGAGGGAGGGGGAGAGGAGGCCAGGAGACAGGCTGGGGACCACTGCAGTGGTCCATGGACACCAGGGCGGTCCCAACAGTGTCTCCCAGAGACCGGGAGAAGCCAGCCCCCTCGACACGGTGAACGTTGCAGTGTAGAAAGATGCCAAACCTGTGTTACAGACACTGACTGGATATTAGCCGTGTTTGAACAGATGCCCGTGTCTGAATTGGAGGCTCTTTACAAATGGGAGACTCAGGCTGCCAGGCTCTGTCATGCCCAATCCCACCCGTGATGGGGCCCAGATTCAGGTGGTGGCCAAGGCCAAGAGAAACGGTCGAGTGGAGCACGACGTGGGAGGCAGGAGGAAGAGGGCTTGGTGAATGACTGCCGGGGTCAGCAAGGCTCTCCCTTGTCATTTCACCTCCCCCGCCACACTCCTGTGCTTCCCTCCCATCCCCCCTCCACACAAGATGCCCACTGCTGTCACCCTGCGCTGTGCAGTGGTATGTTGGGTCATTAAGCCCTGCATTTAATTCCAGCTCTGCCTCTTGCTGGCTGTGTGTCCCCAGAGGGCCTTGGCTTTCTTGTCTGTAAAGGGGGTAATGGTACTGCTTATTGCTGAGGCTTGTTGAAAGGAGGAAATGAGATGTTGTGGTTTAGTAAATAGAACCCTCCCACCCCCAAAGTGGCCGCCATTACTGCTGCCTCTGTTATCCTGCAGCCGCAGCGCAGGGGCCCTGAGCCCTTGCAGGGAAGACATTTCCTCCTTGATCTGCCCAGGCCCCAGACAGAGTCTTTTCAAAATAGGGTCTTGGAGCTAATGCCTTGCATCCCCCAGGAGGTCAAAGGGCCGTGCTCTCTGACACGTGGCTGCTGCGCCATTTGCTGCCCTGAGTCTGAACTGCATGGTGTGGGCTGTCATGCAGGTGCAGAACAAGAGGCACTGAGGCCACTCCAGGCCAGCGGGCAGCTGTCAACTGTCATCCTGACCTGCCTGTCCCTCGCAGGGCTCTGACCTGGTTTCCGGGTGAAATGCTCCCGCTCCCCAGCCCCAGCCCCTCCTCCTGCATTCCACACAGACCCAGCATGGGGTGGGCCCTCTTCCTCTTCCCCAACCCCACTTCAGTGTCCAGAGTTGGGCCCTCTGAGAACCCCCACATGAAGACCCAAGTCTGCATTGGTCCTGACTGTTGTCACGAGCATATGTGTGTACCAATGCCCTCACGCCTCCCCACGTGTACACGCACACTCATGCACATTCCCACTCCCACGCCCATTCCCGCGTGCTCCACCTCTGGCTCACTTGCCACCTTTGTGCAGGCCCTGGCGCCTGGTTGAGCCCCCGGCAGGGCAGCCCTTTGGGGTTTGCTGCTGTGTTGACCCAGTTTCCAGTGTTGGCCTTGAGTCCTCTCCCAGGCCTGGGCCTGCTTGCTCTGAGCCTGGCTACCACCCTGGATGAGGGCCTGCCCATTCCTGCCCTTCAGCCTGCGTCCTGATGGGCTGTCTGCCCCGGGCTGGGCCCTCAGGGAGAGCCTTCCTGACAGCCCTGCCTAAGGGCAACACCTCAGAGAGCAGGGGAGGTGCAGGGCATGGGGTCTGGTGAGAGAGAGACTAACACTCCAATGCCCCCTCTCCACCCAGGGAAATCTAAAATAACCTCCCCAGGGCTGTCTTGGGGAACAGCAGAAGCCCTTCTGTAGGGACGTGGCCATGTTCACCCCCAGCATCTGTCCCCACTTTTCATTTCCACAGGGACACCCCTCTCCCACTCTCAGGCCGTGAGCCTTGTGGGTGACCAACTCCACCTGTCTCCAATCAAGATCCCTCCTCCTGGCCTCTGTGTCTGACTCAGGAAGGGACACAGGCTCTGGAGGTGATGCTGGGGTTGGGGTCCTGGATCCTCCCCGTGGTGGCTGTGTGACTTTTGGCCAACATTTAAATTCTACATGCCTTAGCTTCCTCATCTATACAAGGGATGTAATAATAGCATGCATTTCACAGTGCTGTTGTGCAGATGGAATCCTGTAAAGGACTCAGCACAGAGTAAGTGCTCAGTAAATGTTACCTACTAGTATTAATGGGACTAAATCTGGGGACTTCTGATAGAGTGGCTGGGAACAAGAAGTTCTTTTTTTTTTGCTGGTAATGCTGAATGTTCACCTTGAGTTGCTGGGGGAATCTTGCCATCACGAAGGGAGAGCCCTCCTGATAACAAATTCAGCACAAAGAAAAGCAGTACTCAGAGAGAGGAAAAGAGGGACTTAGTCCTGATGATATCACTTGAGTCCCTTGATCCAGCTGTTCCTGAAGACCTTCCCTTAACTATTCAGGCACATAAGCCAGTCAAGTCCTTTGTTTCCTTCCTTCTTAGCTTAAGTTACTTGAGTTGGGGTTCTGTCATTTGTAAAAAAAATTCTTAATGGTATCCATCCATCTATGTGTCTGTCCATCCATCCACCCACCCATCCATCCATCCATCCATCCATCCATCCATCCCCCCACCCATCCACCCATTCATCCATCGTCCATTCACCCACCCATCCATCCATTTACCCATCTGCCCACCCATCTACTCACCCATCCATCTATCCATCTATCCACCCACCCATCCACCCACCCATTCATCTACCCACCCATCCATCCATCCATTCATCCACCATCCATCCATCCCCCCACCCATCCACCCATTCATCCATCGTCCATTCACCCACCCATCCATCCATTTACCCATCTGCCCACCCATCTACTCACCCATCCATCTATCCATCTATCCACCCACCCATCCACCCACCCATTCATCCACCCACCCATCCATCCATCCATCCATCCATCCATCCATCCATCCATCCATCCACCTACCCATCCACGGACCTGCATTCAAATCCCAACACTAGCAAATCCTGTATTTGTGGGCTTAGACACATCACATCCCCTCTCTGAGACTCAGTTTTTCAGAGAATGGGAGTTTCATCACCTACCTTATGGGGTGGTTTTAGGGAGTAAGTGGGTAACCTCTGTAGAGTTCCATGCTTAGTACTTAGAACAGAAAAGAGACTGTTCCCTTCCATTCCCTCCTATCACAACTTTTCTAACTGTTGAAATCCAGCCCCCACCCCCTGCCCAGATGCATCTGGAAAGCCAATGCCTGACCAGGCCTGGGTCTTCCTGAGCAAGCAGAGTCTGACTGGTACAACCTTTATTGCTTCTCCAGCATTTTCCAGAAGAATGGTGTCATTAGAGGGCCACAGGGGATGGGGGAGTAAAAAATAACATAAACGAACTGAACAGAAATGCAGGAGGGTGGCGAGAGGGGCCGAGATTGGGTGTTCAGGGCAGAGAGGTGGAAGACCAGGGGCAGTCAGTGCTTCTTAGCTTTCAGCCACCAGAGTGGAGAATTCTGCAGAACAAAATGACAAGGAAAGTGAGTCAGAGGCGGGGATGCAAGAGAGACTGTCCACACCTGACTGCGGGGCCCTGGGTGGTGCTCTCTCTGGGTTCTTGCTTCTGCTGCAGCAGCCCCAGAGCGTAAGTGTGAAAATGAATGAATGAATAAATGAATGAATGAGCAGATGAGTGAAGTGAGGTGGGAAATGATGGGCCTACCACATCTTTTGGTTCATCATGCCATGCCACACCCAAAATCATTAATAATAACTACACTAATAACAATAGCAATAATAATAATAATAGTTTTCTGAATGCTTATCATATGCCAGGCACTATTCGAAACACTTTATATGCAATATCTTATTTGACTCTGACAATAGTCCTGTCTGGTGCATTTTGGCATTGTTCCTGTTCTACAGATGAAGAAACTGAGGCTCAGGGTCCTGATTTCTGGACTTCTCTGCTGTTTTTCTCCCCAGGAGATGAGAGAGGACAAGGAGTTTGCTGCCACGTGCCACTACGTGTCTCTGAGATGCCATGTCTCAGCCTGCTGGGGAGTGTAGGGTCTCAGGCAAGTGCCCATCGCCCTAGAAAATGCAGTGTTGTCTTGGCTGGGCACAGTGGCTCACGCGTGTAATCCCAGCACTTTGGGAGGCTGAGGCAGGTGAATCACTTGAGGTCAGGAGTTTGAGACCAGCCTGGCCAACATGGTAAAACCCTGTATCTACTGAAAATGCAAAAATTAGCTGGGTGTGGTGGCGGACGCCTGTAATCCCAGCTACTCCAAAGTCTGAGGCAGGAGAATTGCTTGATCCCAGAAGGCAGAGGTTGCAGTGAGCCAAGATCGTGCCACCGCACTCCAGCTTGGGCAATAGAGTCAGACTCTGTCTCAAAACAAACAAAAAAAAGAAAAGAAAAAAGAAAATGGAGTGTTGTGATGTGGGGAGAGCACAGGCTGGGGATTGAAAGTTAGGGCTTCCAGGCTTAGTCTGGCCCTATTTGCTGGAAAATGTATCTCTCTGGGTTTTGGTTCCCTCATCTGTCAGTGGAGTGAAGAGAGGGGCCAGTAATAATTGCTTGGGTGAGACAAATAAAAAACTGGTCGTGAAATGGCTTCAAAAAGGCCACAAAAAGTATCTGAGACTCATTTGAGGTGAGCTGCGTCCTCCCTGGACTTTGTGTGGAATACAAATGTAAAACCCCACCTATCCAGTTTCTTAGTTTTCATCATTGTACTGTGGTTATGTAAAATATTAACATCGGGGGAGCTGGGTGAAGGGTGTACAGGACTCTCTGTACTATCATTTCAATTCTTCTGTATATCTACAATTATTTCAAAATAAAAAAGTGAAAACACACACACACAAAAGCCAAACCAACACATGCTGTATTGTAGAAATAACCTGGCACTGGGCTGGGCACGGTGGCTCGCTCCTGTAATCCCAGCACTTTGGGAGGCTGAGGTGGGCGGATCACGAGGTCAAGAGATCGAGACTATCCTGGCCAACACGGTGAAACCCTGTCTCTACTAAAAATACAAAAATTAGCTGGACGTGGTGGCGCACACCTGTAGTCCCAGCTACTTGGGAAGCAGAGGCAGGAGGATTGCTTGAACACAGGAGGCAGAGGTTGCAGTGAGCCGAGATCGTGCCACTGCACTCCAGCCTGGTAACAGAGTGAGACTCCATCTCACACAAAAAAAAAAAAAAAAAAAAAAAGAAAGAAACAACCTGGCACTGGCCCTGGCTAGATGAAGGGACACGTACCTGGGTGCCTCACCTTCCTGAGGTTTGACTTAGGAAATAGACATCATCCTTTCCTGTCCCCAGGCTGTCCTAGGATAGGAAAAGTGGGTGACCTGGATATGGGGGATGCAGGGTGGGAGAGAGTGAGGGTCCACCAGCTGGTTTTGAAATCTCCAGGCTCTCTGGCTGAGTGGTAACAGCAGTGCCAAGGATGGAGTCTCAAATAAATACCAAAACAACAAATACTCGTACAGAATCCCTCCCATAGGGCAGGCGTCAAAGTGCTTGCTTTCTCAGCCAGGAGCCTGTGATCTTCCAGGACCTCGGTGGGGCAGGTGGTTATTTTGAGATGTCTTTTATTAGCAGTACTTTTATTAATTATAGCTAGTAACTAACATTTATCGAATGCCAATGTGGGAAGCATTTTGCATATATTATCTCATTGAATCCTCATGACTACTCCATGGGAGAGACACCTTTGTCTGCATTTTACAGATGGGGAAACTGAGGCTCAAAAATTAAGTAGCTTGACCATGACATGATTCAAGCTAGAAATGCTCTTAGGCTTCCTTCTTCATCCCTGTAGTTTCCGACCTACTTTGACCTTGGTATAGAGTGACACATGTCCCAGCTCAAATATCACCATCCCATCGCATTAGTCCTTTTTTATTTACTTCATAGTCCTTGGCACTCTCTGAAATGATCTTATTTATGCACTTATTTTTGTCAGTCTCCCCCTACTAGAATGCAAACTCTAGAGGGCAGGGGAGCCTCTCTCTTGTTCACTGTTCTCCTGGCAGCCACAGTGTTCCTGGCACACAGTAGGTGCTCATAAATAAGCTCTGGGTGGATGGATGGAGGGATGGATGGACAGATGGAGGGAGGGATAGAGGGATGGATGGATGGGGGGTAGATGGATGGATGGATGGATGAGGAATGGGTGGATGGAGGGATGAGGAATGGATGGATAGAGGGATGGATAAAGGGAGAGAAAGATGAATGGATGGATGGGTGGGTGGGTGGATGGATGGATGGATGGATGGATGGATGGATGGATGGGTGGGTGGTTGGGTGGGTGGATGGGATAGCTCACGAGTCCTTCTTAGGGATCAACAAGTTCTGACTTACTTTATATAATTCACATGACAGTCTGGGAGGATTCTAATTTTATAGATGGGGAAATGGAGGCTGGGAAGGTGAGGTGTCAGGGTCATGTGGAAAACAAGAGGCAGAGCCAGGACTTGGCCTCTGGCCTCAGGAACCTGCTACATGAATGTGGAGAGGCTACTCCTGAGAGGGCTAGTGTCCCAGCTCAGGCAGAAGCATGAACCCTCTACAGCTTCAACCTGTCATTTCATCCAGCACTGGCATTCCCTGTTTGGGGGCACTGAGTTTCTCTGTCCTGGGATAAAGGATGCATGAGCCTGTCCATCACCGCCTGCTCATGGAGAGATTGTCAAGAGGGGAAGCTGGTCCTCTCTGTTTTCCAGCCTGCCCTGACCCCTTCATCCTCACTCTGGAAATTATGGGCTCTCAGGCTGCTCATCGGTAAATAGCCCGTTGGTCACCTTCACACTAGACGGGATTTGGTGCAGCTGGTGTGACGGGGACCCAGGGACACCAATGAGGGACTCTCCGGTGACGGAAAGTCAGACATTTTGGAGCCAGACTTTGGGAGGTACTTTGGAGCTGTGGGGTTTTTGAAAGCCTCTTAAATCAGCCCCTCTGCCCACCCTGCAATCTGTTCTCAAGCAGCCAGGACATCACAGTAGCCACATGCGCTGGCCTTCGGCAGAGAACACGGAATTCTAATTTTATCCCCTCAGAACCTTCAATAGGGGACTTTGTAGATAAATTGAGGGCAGGAGCCACCCCTTCCGTGCCTTTCCTATCTGCCTCAGGGCTGAGCTCTTAGGAGCCAGCCAATTAACGAACAGGTCTCCTAGCCAAACCCTTCCTCTAAAATGCCCAGGTCTCTCCTTAAAGAAAAACAAATGACTGGCTGGGTGCAGTGGCTCATGCCTGTAATCACAGCACTTTGGGAGGCTGAGGTGGGCAGATCACAAGGTCAGGAGTTCGAGACCAGCCTGATCAACATGGTGAAACCTCGTCTCTACTAAAAATACAAAAGTCAGCCGGGAGTGGTGGCGCGCGCCTGTAATCCCAGGTACTCAGTAGGCTGAGGCAGGAGACTAGCTTGAACCCGGGAGGTGGAGATTGCAGTGAGCTAAGATCACACCACTGCACTCCAGCCTGGGTGACAGAGCAAGACTCTGTCTCAAAAACAAACGAACAAACAAACAAACAAACAAAGACTACACAAAGATCCTGTAAACTCTAGGTCAGCTGAATTGGTGGTAGGTAGGATCCCAGGATGGGGAATGTAGCTTTGAATGGTCGGGTTCTAGTCTTGGCTTTGCCATCTGCTGCTGTCCCTGGACAAGATGCCTCATCCTCCCTGGTCTTGCTTTTCTTATGAGTGAGTGTTGGGTCTAGAAGACGCCTTTCCAGCTGTCACACGGTGTTTGGAGCAAGCAAGCTGGGGGTAACTCCCAGCTCCCATTTCTTGTTCCTGTGACCTTCGACTAGATGCTTCACCTCACCTGTCAAATGGAGCTCATGATAGTGCCCACTTCCTTAAGTTGTTCAGAGGAGCCAGCACTAAAGCTCTCGGTCACAGGCCTGATGCATAGCAAGCTCTCGGTATCTGGTGGTGTTGCAACCAAGGTGTTTCTGTACTTCAAGCCACTTTAAAACCAAGCCTATAAACGCCTAGTTGCTGCCCGGCAGAAGCAGGAGGCTCTAAATGGTATTGTAACTGGTATTTGTTAGCATCATCGTTGTTCTTGTTGCCATTGTTTGTCTCCATGATCCCAGCATTTCCTGCCTCCGCCCTGGCACCTACCTACAATCATCCAGCAACCCTGGACCTACATCTGAATCTTGTTCCATCACTATCTGGCTAGGTGGCCATCAGTCACTACTTTAGCTCTCTGAGGCTCAGCTTTCTCATTTGTAAAGTGGGTATAATAATGCCTGTTTGGATGGCTATTAGAAAGACCAGATGGGGTAGTACGCCTGGCACACAGTAACTGGTTTATAAGTGTTAGTTCCGCCTCCCGTGTGGATCTCCCCAGCACAACAGACACAGGTTGGAGCTTTGACATAACATTAACTACGAAAGTCCTGAAACTAAGCAAGACAAGGAAGATATAAACAGAGGGCACGGAAAGCCTAAAGAGCAGCCAGCTGACCTGGTACAAGTTTCCGACCCATCTATCCCATCAGAGCTAGCATCCCACCTCCGGCACATCCATCCGTGGCAACTTAGTTCCTGATCCTCAGTTTCCTCATCTATAAAATGGGGATACTGGGACTATCTCCTTATAGGGTTATGGTAAGGGCTCCATAAGATAATGGAGAAGGAGTGCCCAGCACAGTGCCTGGCACACAGTGGGAATGCGACTAAATCAACTCTTAATGTTGACAGGTAGAAGAGACAGTCTTCCTTTGGAGGTATCCAGAATGGTCATTCTCTTCTAAGACATGAAAGGACAGCAGTACTTTTGCAGTCTAAATCCTCGCCCAAGACCCTCTGGGGCCAGCTTGCAGATGTCATCATTGTCCAACCAGAAAGCGACAAAGGAGGTAGATGGTAGGGATGGGGGTGGGAAGGAGGCAGCAGAGGGAGGATCAGAGGACTAGAGGATTCTGTTCTTTTCTTTCCCTTAGGAAACTGAAATTAGCCTAATTAGGTCTGTCCCAGTCCAAGGCCGCGGGGATTGGACAAATTTAGAAGCTATTGACAGGTGAGAGCAACACACGCTGATGGCCCAAAGCGAAACTGAGCCGGCCATTGAGTCAGCGGCTGGAAGGCTCTTTCCCTCCCTCTGTCGTGATGACCGGGATGAAGGAGCCGGCCTCCTGGTTTATCACCTCACCTCTAAATAGCTCCCGGGCTCGGTTTCTTATAAATTGGTATCTCAAACAGGGATCACCTTCCCATCCCGGAGAACTGGGAGGCAGAGTCACTCCGGGTCAAGCCAGACAGCCACAAGGAGGCCGCGTCAACAGTTCTGGGGCTCACTCTGTACCAGGCACCGCACGGTGTGTTATTCCATTTCATCCTCGTCGGCTCTCTTATCTTCATTTTGTTTACAGAGAAACTGAGGCTGAGTGTCACTGTGTCACTCAGCTAGGAAGATTCTAACAGGCGTGGCTGGGGCCAGGGTGCGTCTCTTCCTCAAAGGTTGGAGTTAAATGGTCCTGGTTCTGACTCAAGCTGCAACCCCCAGAGGCAGAAGGAGAGGGATGCATGGAGGGGAATGTCTTTTTCCACCAAGCAGCTGCTCCCTTTCACAAGAGGCCAGTTATGTAAGGAAGGCTGCTTCCTCTCCCCTTGCTAAATCTTTTCTAGTGCAGCATAAGGCCAGAGCTAGGGAAAGTCCACACGGGAATAAAAAGAGCAGATTGCTAAGCACAGAAGCCATTTATAACTAAAACGTCTCAGCTCAGCTTAGGGGAGGGAGTGGTGGAGTCAGGAGACCCGGGTCCCGTTGGGCCAAGGACTTCTATGTGACTTTGGCACTTACTGTCTACGGGGCCTCAGTTTTCAAGTCTCTCAGTGGGCATCACAGTGTCCCCTAAACCTCATTGAGCTGGTACCAGGGTGCAATGAGATGGGACAAAGCATCGTGCACCTTAGGGCTCTGCCCTCAAAACCCTGGGCTAGCCTTGATCTGAGCATCCTGTCCTACTTAGAAATCAAATCCCCATAGAGGCCGGAGGGCTAGAATTACAGGGAGAACGGCAAATTCTCCTTCTATCTCTCTCACTTTTCTCCTGCTTTAGACTCAATTTCCTTTCTGTTGAGGATTGAGATTCCACCACTTTTAAAAGGTTTTGGGTGGCTTACGAGCAAAACATTCCCATAAAATAAGAGGAAAGGAATCATTTCTAGAACATTCTCTTCATTCGAGCAACAGCCCTGTAAGGTGTGTATTTTTCTCCCCACTTTCCAGGTGTGGGAATGGATGTCCTGAGAGAGGAAAAGATACAGCCATTCCCACGGCTGATCCCCAGCATTTGGCTTTCTAATTTCTGCCTGACTCAGGTGCTCCACCACAGCCCAAGGCCTTACGCTACCACTCCGCCTCTCACGCCTCTCACGGTAAATAGGCTACTTAAGGATAAAAGGGAACAGATTTTGCCAGAGGGAAGCAGAAAAGGCAAATTCCTTCAGGCATGCGAGTGAGTGGCAAGGGGTGGGGGGGTTGCAAGGTTAGGCAATAATGATGACTACATGTTTCAGCAACAGAAGCAAAATGCAAACCCCAAACTCTTGAGTTGAGACACACTTAAAGCAGAGGGCAGTGGATCCATCGCCGGGAATGGGTTTCAGGAAGAATGTAACTAGGACTGCGTGCAGGCACGTGTGCACACGGGGCATGCGGATCTTCTCTGCAGCAAGATATTAGGAGTCAAGGTTTGAAGAGGGCCCTGAGGCTTCACAGCAAGTCGCTCTGCTTCCCGGGGCCTCAGATTCCTTGTATGTATCAGTAACAAAAATATCTTGTAGAGCTGTTGGGAGGTTTGAATGAGTTAAAAGATGTAAGGCCTGTGTGCTGTACTTGGCACACAGGAAGTGGGGATGAATGCTAACCTCGATTCCTGTTGGTCAACACACTCTGCGGGGGCAGGCATTGAGTTTGGAAGGCCCAGGCTGGGGACACATGCTCGTGTGAGGCAGGATGGCAGAGGGTCCTGGCTGGACCACCGAGCCTCAGTTCTAGCTCTGCTACAGAGAGACCCTGGGCATGTCACTTCTCACGATGCCTCAGTTTCTCCACTTGCAAAATGGGGATAGTGACGGCATCTACTTCCTAGGATTATTGTAAGGCAGTGGTCTTCTAAGTGTGGTTCGCCAGATCATTAGCACCATCTGCTAACTTGTAAGAAATGCAAAAGTGTGGGCTCCACCTAAGGAATCAGAAACTCCTGGGGTCTGGCACAGCCATCTGTGTTGCCATAGGCCCTCCAGGTGATGCTGACACCCGCTCCCAGCTGGAGACCTGTTGTGAAGGTGAAGTGTTTGAAAAGCCACCTGCCACATAGTCTGCTTTGTCTGCTTTTTATGCCTGGGCTTTGCAACTGCAGGTGCTTTAACAAAGATTTTTTTTTGGCACCCTTCACCTCTTTTTCTAGCTTCTCTTTCCTTTTCAGCCTTAAGCCCTCCCCATGTCAGCTCTGCACCAGCCTTTTAGGGTGGCCTTTGAGAATGAATCAACCACATCTATAAAAGCCTTTGAGCTTCCTGGAAGTAGTTGCCCCAGAGAC
This sequence comes from Homo sapiens, assembly GCF_000001405.40. Lineage (NCBI taxonomy): Eukaryota > Metazoa > Chordata > Mammalia > Primates > Hominidae > Homo > Homo sapiens. Next base: position 36,808,990 of record NC_000022.11, read on the forward strand.
GGGAATGCAAAGGGTTATTATTAGAACTTTGTCTTCCTACCCCCTCCCTTCAATACAGGATCTTCAAGAAACTGATAAGTATCACTCACCTTCAGAAGGACAAACAGAGCAGGGAAGAGAGGCAGTCCCTGGTTTGGGCTCCCTGGCACCTGCTACAGACAAGTCTCCACAGATCCCCAACCTTGGCTTGCAGATCATCTCCCACTACATACAGCAGTTATGATCCTCATCACTGCACAGTGCTGCCCAGAGCTGGGTACTTGTTCATTCATTCATTCATTCATTCAACCAAATACACTTTTCTTTTTCTCCCACTATGGGCCAGGCCCTATTCTAGGTGCTGGGATTAGAACTGAAAAAAACAAAGTTCCTGCTCAGTGGACCTGACATCTTAGTGGAGGAGAAAGAAATAGGCAATAAGTCAATAAATATAATCATCTTATAGTAAATTAAACTATGAATGAATGAATGAATGAATGAAGCAGGCAGCACAGGTCACGTGCTTCGGAGCTCAAAAGACCCGACTTTCAGACTTTGATCTTTTCTCTTCCTAGCCTAAAGGGTTTATGCAAGCCCTTAGCCTCTCTGAGCCTCAGTGTGCTCATCTATAAAATGGGAATCATAATAGTATACACTTCAGAGATAGCTAGGAAGATTAAATGAGTGAAATGCTAAGCACGGTGCCTGGCACATATTGAGCGCTCTATGAACTTAGATGCTATTGCCATCATCACTCAAGGTCACGCAGCTGAGCCAAAATAGTGAAGTGGTCTTCTGTGTAGAGGTTTATCCACTGAGACATCTGTGAAATCCCGGGGCTGGAACGCACCCCAGTAATTGGCTAGTGATCTGCCCCATGTCCCATGTTTTTTTTTTTTTTTTTTGGTTTTTCGTTTTGTTTTGTTTTGTTTTTGAGATGGAGTCTAGCTCTGCTGTCCAGGCTGGAGTGCAGTGGTGTGATCTTGGCTCACTGCAACCTCCGCCTCCTGGGTTCAAGTGATTCTCCTGCCTCAGCCTCTTGAGTAGCTGGGATTACAGGTGTGTGCCACCACGCCTGGCTAATTTTTGTATTTTTAGTAGAGGTGGGGTTTCACCATGTTGGCCAGGCTGGTCTCGAACTCCTGACCTTGTGATCTGCCCGCCTTGGACTCCCAAAGTGCTGGGATTACAGGCATGAGCCACTGCGCCCGGCATGCCCCATGGTTTTAAAGACAAGGCACTTTATGGTCAGAGGGGCTCTGGGACATGCCCCAGATCCCGCCAGGAGTTGAAGGCATCTTCCAGCTATAGGTGGGGCTCGGGCCTTCTGGCCTTTAGAGAGAGTGACAGCAAAGCAGAGTATCTGAAACAGAACGTCCTGGGCCCCAAAAAGGCTCTGCTTCCCATCTCGCTGCCTATTGGGCATCATTGCACCCACCCTTCCTGCGTTAGGGGGTTGGGAGTGAGGAAGGGGGCATCTGCATCTTCCCACCTCAAAAGCATGAAGTGTGGGGCCCCAGTGCCTCAGGGTGGTCTGTGCTCATTGTCTATTTTATGTCTTGCCTATGAGCTCAATGGAGGCTGCACAGGTGGGCCTGGACCATGCTGTTGGGTTTGAATCCTGGCCCTGACACTTGCTGGCATTGTGACCTTGCACTCACTCCCTGGGCTGCCCTTTCTACATCTGCACTTATGTCCTCTGTTGTCCCAAGGTCAAATGAGGTAACCAAACCCAGCACTAGGCTGGACACACATGACATGCCCAGCTAATAATTCTTTCCTCCCATTCTTGGCAAAACAATCTTCTTGCCCCTTTCTGAACATACCCAAAAGTTTCCAGCCTTGGCTGATGCCAATACCTTGCCTGGACCCCACTCCCTCTGTCCCCTACAGCCTGTGGCTTAGCCTCCAAGTCCGTACAAAATGCCTGATGCCTGCGCCTCTGCCTCTGGCTGGCACTATCGCTTGTTTGTGTATATGTGTAGAGCTGCAAGCAATTTGCAGACAATAAAAATGACATTGCATGGCCGGGTGCAGTGGCTCATGCCTGTAACCCCAGCACTTTGGGAGGCTGAGGTGGGCGGATGACTTGAGGTCAGGAGTTCGAGACCAGCCTGGCCAACATGGTGAAACCTCGTCTCTACTAAAAATACAAAAATTAGCTGGGGATGGTGGTGCGTGCCTGTAATCCCAGCTACTCAGGAGGCTGGGGGAGGGGGGAATTGCTTAAACCCAGGAGGCAGAGGTTGCAGAGAGCTGAGATTACACCACTGCACTCCAGCCTGGGTGACAGAGAGAGACTGTCTCTAAATAAATAAATAAATAAATAAATAAATAAATAAGGCATTGCAGTGGCCATTTATTGAGCATTTGTTATGTGCTGGGCACTACAGGCCACATTTCCATGTTATAATGCCTAGTTTACAGATGAGGAAGCTGGGGCTCAGGGCTAAGGAGTAGCTGCTCAGGGGCACCCAGTCAGGAAATGGGCCTGAATTATTTTTACCTCTTCCATTGCCGGGCACAGAGTTGCTACTCAGTCAACATCTGCTGGATCTGTTAGAAGAGTTTAGTTGATGCCTTAAGATCTGAGTGTGGCAGGGAGGGAGGGAGGGAGGCAGGGAACTGGGCCAGGTTTGGCTGGTTTCTCTTCATCAGGTAGGTTTTCTGTGAGCAGTCAGCCATGAAGACCCAGCCCAGGGCTTCTGAGGTATGGCATATTGGCTGCAAATAAAAATGGAAGGCAGGTCTGGAGGCCAGGGTCAGGGTTCAGATGGGAGCCAGGCCTTGGGGTGGAGCTGTCTGATAAGCAGATTGGTGGGGATGGGGGTGTGAGGGAGGATCTGCCAAGCACCAGAAGCCCCAGGAGCGGCCAAGCCAATGATGCCTTTCCAATACCCTCTGCTCCACTCCTTTAAAACCACCTCCCTCCTTCCCAGCCACAAGAAGGGCAGCTGGCATCAGATGGCCAGGGGACCCCCTGCATTTGACCTGGATAGGGATTCTCCATTCTCGTTACTGGCAGGAAACAAACAAACAGAAAAGAAATCAACAACAACAACAACAAAAAAAACCCTCTAACTCATAGGCATACACCTACTTTCATAATCCTTGTACCTTTCCCAAAGCAATTTTGGGTTCACAGAATCTTAATTTTCACAACAAGCCCAAATAGGTCTTAGGAGAAGCTGATGCACCCCATTTGCCGGGCAAGGGAACGTAGGTGTGCAGAGGTGACGTGTTCAAGGTCACAGCTGGCAAGGGGCAGAGAAGGAGCAGAGCATGGGGGTCTGGGCTTTACACTCAGGCAGCGGATGTTTATGAAGCACCTGCTCTGTGTGGGGTATTGGCTAGATACTGGGGCTAGAAGGATGAATGCAACCCAATCCCTAGTTTTAAGTTTTACATCCACTTATATGTTGGATGTAAGTGGGTAGAACGTGAAGATTCTAGACAGAAGGTACCCTTGCGAAGGGACCTAGTTTTAAAAAAATTAGCTAACAAATACATATATAACATTTACTCTGTGCCAGACACTGTTCTAGGCACTTTACATATTAACACATCTAACCCTTGTAATCACCCTGTAAGAATTATCATTCTATTCAGTTCAGAGATGAGAAAACAGAGGCTCAGAGTAGTTATCAAATTACGCAAGGTCACACAGCTCGAAAGTGGTAGGGCTGGGATTTGAACCCAGATAGCCTGGGGCCCAGAGGCCAAACACCTACACACAGTTTTCTCTGAGACCAGCAGAAAAGCCTATTATGGGAACAAATGGCAGCTTAGTATGTTGCAAACACTCATTCAGGCCTGGTTCTAAATCCCCACTCCACCGCTATGTCCTAGCTCTTTCAACTAGGCTAAGCACCTTCAAAGTCCATTTGCCCACCTGCAAAATGGAGATAATTCCGGAGAAAATCATAAGCTAAGAGAGATAGCAATGTGGGTGTGCTCCATGAATGCCACACAGAGCCAAATGGAGAAAGGAGTGGACGGTGGGCCACTGGTCTCTCACCTGTGCTGACATTGAAGCCTGCAAAGCAAGGCAGGGCCAGGTATTCCCTGTCTGAATTCCCCACTGATTTCTGGTTTACTGTTTTTCCTGGCTCTGCTGCAAGGCTAGAATAGTATATTTGAGTAAAACCCAAACAGGTTTTGAGACTTGGGGTTACAGGACACCAGGACAAGATGCTGAGGAGGACAGGAGATAGGAATTTCCATCCCTGGAATCTGAGGATGTGAGAGGCAGAGGATCCTTGGGGATTAGTCGGCCTCATTTCGTTGGATTAGAGATGGGAGACAGAGGCCCAGCGATCGAGAGACACTGCCCAAGGTCACACAGCCAGTTTGGGCAGAGGTTGGGCCAGTATCCATGCAAAAATGCAGGCAGAGTTCAGGAAAAAAAAATCCCAAATCCTCCTGGATCCCCTACCCAGCAGGAAAAACAGAATCTATTCCTTTTAGGTTTTCAAATTAGGAAAATACACCAGTTTTCCTTTGTCTGGAGTATGTGGCAGAGCTCTCAGACCTAATGGACTGCTTTTTGTCTTCTAATCTGGGGGAGTGAGGGACCCCCATATCATCCCTTCCTTGTGACAGACATAGCTTCAAACTTTTCGCATCCAACACCCCAAGATCCACAATATGCCCAGACCCCAGGTCACGGCTACCCACCGTCAACCCCAATTTTGCCGTCCCCATCTTTGTCTCCAGCAGCCATCAGCATCTTGGTTTCTTTAGCAGACAGGTCTCTGGCATCTGGGGAGAAGCCTTTTAGGATGAATCTGGAGGAGAAAAGGGAGAAAGCCGGTGAGGGAGTCAGGCCGAGGTCGCCTTGCAGGACGCTGGATGGAGGGTGGTCTGGTTTCTGTATGGGGAAAGGGATGGCTGGGACAGGCAGCGAGCAGCAGTCACGCACACGGATGCTCTGGGCCAGGTAGCCTGCTCGGTGGCTGTGCTTTCGTGGGTGAGTATTTAGGAAAGGACAGGCTGTCCTCAGTGAAGGGTTGTCCTCACTTCAGGGAGGGCACCTACATTCGTTAATTTATCCAACAAGTATTCACTAAGTGTCATTTCTGTGTCTGGCGTATGCTGGAAAGTGGGGTCACAGTGGTGATCTTCGGAAGGCACTGGAAAAAATAAGGAGGTCACGGGCTCCGAGAGAGACCACACAGTGTGATGGGCCGTGGAGGAGGGCACTCAGAAGCTGTATCTGCCCACCTGCGGTGAGGGGAGGAGAGGGGAGGCTTCCTGGTGAAGGTGATACCTGGAGGACAGGGGGAAGTCAGCCTCTGTGAGTGTGTGTGTGTGTGTGTGTGTGTGTGTGTGTGTGTGCATAAGTGTGCATGCATGTTGGATGTAAGTGGGTAGAACGTGAAGATTCTAGACAGAAGGTACCCTTGTGAGATGGTTTAGGGGAGAGACAGGATGGGTGGGGAAGTCCCTACTTGAAAGGCCTCTCCCTACACCCACCCCCCGCTTCTCTTTTTGACAAAACTCAAGGCTTTCTTGGCCAGAAAGTGACATAAGGCAACCTGAGTCAGTAGACATGGCCGGGTGGCTGAGGGAATTATGGTGGGAGATGCTTTTGCAGATGGAGGCATGCATTTTCCTAGCCACAGCCTTCTCCTTCTCTGCTTTTCTCCAAGGACCCCTGGACTCTCAGAGGTGGTTCTGCATCCCTGGCTTGCCTAGAAATTGCACCAGCCACACTAGTACCAGAGGGCTGGGGGCTGCAGGAAGGTGGAAAGTGTCTTTTAGACAAATGAAAATCAATGAAATACTCAAGTGAATGCTTTCTGCCCTGCCTATGGTGTTAGGCAGCAAGAAAACTGCCTCTTCATTTGCATTAAATTATTAAGTAGCAACATTCCATTAGCAATATTAAGTGGCTATCATTTAACCTAGTTAGTTGCACTTTCAGCTGAGGGTTTTACTCTTCCGAAGCAATAGCACCAGGAAGCCTTCTCCCCTGGTGCCCTGGGTCGGAGCCCTGCCTTCACGCACGGTTACTTTCTGTGAAGCAGGCAGAGTGAAAGGCAGGTCTGATGGACACTTGGAAGCTAGAGTCCCAGCCCCCACTCCCTCTCGTGCAGCCGTGGGCTGGGCAGCCCCTGCAGGCCTCCGCTTACCCCAGCTCATCCTCCTCGATGAAGCCACTTTTGTCCTTGTCCAGCATGTGAAACACCTTCTTCACATCATCCGCACTCTTTTTCTTCAGGCCGACCATTTGGAAGAACTTTTTGTGGTCGAAGGAGTCGGTAGCTGTGGGGGGAAGAGCAGGGTCAAACAAGGACCAGAAAGGCTGGTAGGGAAGCCTGGGAGAATGGGGGGCATCAAGGCATTTGTTGATGGATTCCCACATGCCAGTCATGGGGAATGAGAGGTACCCACCTCCATTGGAGGGCTGAGGGAGCCCGGGCAAGGGAGGATAACCTGTCCAAGGTCACAAGGCTGGGAGTGGAAGAGGTGTGCTCAAACCCAGACCTCCCTGGCTCTCAAGCCCGCCCCCACGCCCCACCTCCACTGCACCCATTGCTGATGATGGGAGCAGCACCTAAGAACCAAAGGCTTTTGTTCTTCTGAGAACCTTGTGCCCAGGAAGACTTTTGAGTGCCAGCTGGTTGGGAGTGGGCTGGGGAATTGAAGGGGGCATGAACATGGTCCTGGGGTTAGGGGGAGGAGGGTTGACCTTCTTTCTTGGCCACAGACTTTGTTGCCAGAAAATTGACATAGAAAGGACAGGTTTCCCTCAAGGTCATACAGTGGGAGGAGGAGGGGCAAACCCGGAAGTCCTGGCTCTGCGCAGAAATCCACTTCGGAGGCAGTGGGAAGGGGGTGTTAGGAGGCTCCCGAGAAACACCCAGTTAAGTTTCTTCCCACATGGGCTTGAGGTGAAGGGAGAGGGTTATCCCAGGACCCTGGGAGGGTGGCTTCCCAGAGAGGTTCTTGTGCCCAGGGGAGGGGGTGCAAAGCAGAAAGGAAATGGGGGTCCTTTTCTACCTGCAATTTTCTGTATCTTGGGGTCCTGTTTTAGAACACCTGGGGAAGGGTACAATGTTAGATCATGTATTTTGTGTGTGTGTGTGTGTGTGTGTGTGTGTAGGGAATGGCTGTTGAAGTCATGTTCTCTTCCCCTCAGCACAGGGCTAGAGACAAGGAAAGTTGCCCTGTCCACCTCCGACACTAGGCTGGGCAACCCAGTTCTAATACCCCTTCTGCCCAGCTAGGTGACCTTGGGCAAATGTCTTGTCCTCTCCAAGACAGTTCCCTGATTTCCCCATCTGGAGGACAGGGGAGGAGGAAGGCGGGCAGCTTAGCGCTGAAGTCCCGGGCAGCTGGGAGAGGTGAGACTGCCAGTTCCCCTCCCCTGCCCGCCTAAGGAGGCTGGAGGTTTGAGGCACTGAGGATGCCCCGTGCGGGCTTAGGCAGAGCTGTGCGCCGGCTCCAGAAGGTCACCTCGCCCGCAGGTCCGTTGCTGAATCTCAGTAAAGGAACTAGGACAGTCAGGGGGCCAACAAAGGCTACCGCCTGGCGGGAAAAGTCCTGTCCAGAATGAGGGTCCAGGAAAGGGGTCTCTTGGAGAGGAGGATGCCCCCTGCAGTCCCCTCTAAGTGCCTTAAAGAGGACGTCCAGAGAGCTCGTACAAGGACCCTGGAGGTCTCTCCTCCGACCCTGGTCTTCGCCCTTGGTCCCGGACCCTGAGTCCTCCCAGCCACCGGGCCTTCAGCACCCTCAAGTTTCTGTAACTTAGGCGGGGCGCCCTCTTCCCCGCCCGCTCCCCGCGCCAAGCCTCGCCCGGACAGAGTTTGGGAACTGCCAAGGACGCCCCCGCCCCGACCTCGCCGGCGCCCAGCGGGAAGTGTGGGCAGAAGCGCGCTGGGGAGGATCCGCCGGCTGCGGGGCCGGCGGAGTGCAGGGGCGCGGGCGGTGGACGAGGGGAGAGGGATGGGGAGGGGAGCGCGCTTGCTCACCGCTAAAGGCTCCCACCGCCTTCTTGATGTCCTCAGCGTTCAGCAAGTCTGTCATCGACATCCTGCAACTGTTTGAGCGGGCAGAGCAAGTGCGAAAAGATTAAAAAGTGCTTTTCTCATCATTTCTGCTCATATGACCAGCGCTGCAGTGCTGCGCGCCGGGCGCACGCCCGCCGGGCCTGGCATGGCGCCAGGGGCCCGGACTCTGAGCGCAGCGGGAGCGGCTCAGTCCAGCCGCGCCGCTGAGCAGCGCCGGCCGCCGGCAAGAAGGCGCGCGGACCTGCTACCACTCCTGCACCGCCAGGCCAGGGGTCCGCGGGATCCCAGGGGCTGCGGCCAGGGCACGAGGGAAGGGGCCACCTCTGGGATTTAGGGGGCACTGGCGTCACCAGCTGGGTCTGGAAAGTCCACCTGCCGTCAAGGACACGCAGGAGGTGCGCCGTCTCAGATCTGGGAACCTTGGCGGATGTCCTGCCGCGTGGGGGAAGATCCTGAACCTTCAGCGGCCAGCCTGCACCTCAGGACCTCCTAGGCCCTGCTCCCTTTCTCTCTCCACTCCTACCTCAGCCTCTGCTCTGGTCTGTCCTGGATGCAAATTTATGCTGCAAAATCTGAGCGCTGAGGTCCTGAAACCTGACCCACCCGACGCAGGGAGGAGGTGGCAGGGACAGGGACAGGGACAGGCAGGAGCTGCTGGGGCCCACTTCGGGTGCCCCATCCCACATCTGGCCAGGGATGCATATTCTAAAACCTGATTTGATGTTTTACTTTTATTTTTTATTTTTTTGCTGGCTTGATTTTTCGAAGAACACTTCTCAGATCTCTACTAACTACTTGCTTTCCTGGTCTCCTGGGTCCTGGCATCATGGGTCCAGACTCCCCCTACTCCTATAAACCTTTTTTGGGCAGAGTAGGGTGGGAGAGTCCGCTTGGAATTGCTATGCTCCCTCCCAGAAAGCCCCATATGTGTTTGGAAGAAGGGTAGCACCTTCAGACCACACTTTCTAGACAACCTAAGCAGGTGTAGGGGTCTGAACTTCACCTCTGGAAAAATGTCACGGTGCCTATCTGTATGCAGCCAGAGACCCGTTGTGTTCTTCCCCATGGTTCCCAAGGTTTCAAGCTGCAACCAGCTGCTTCTAGAGTGTGTGAGCGCTGGACAGGGAGTCAGGAGGCCTGGGTTCTAGATCCTGGGCTGCACTAAGTCCCAGTGTGACCTTGGGTTGTGACCTTCTCTGGGCTTCTGTCTCCTTCTGATGTGTTGATGACGTCAGTGGTCCCATGTAGTGGGACCTGGGGACTGCAACTTAAGGTATTGGCAGGTAGGCAGGGCCTTGGGCTGTGGTGGCCCTGGGTGGTGGGGACCAGGGAGAGCAGCTGTCCAGCTGCCCAGTAACTCAAGTTCCCTGACATCGCTGTCAACATTGTCTCCTGCAGCTCAGCCCTGGATGGCTGCCCTTCCTGGAAACCTTAGGATACCTCTGCTGGCTCCAGCTGCCCCCTCCCTGTGAGTCAGCTCCTTCAAGCCACAGCCCGCCAGATGGCTTCCAAGGCACCAAGGATGCAGCTCCTGACCTGATGCCTCTCAGCTCCAGGACTTCCCAGGACCCCTCAGCTGCCCTGGACCCTGCTGCTACTGCCGTCACCTCTGCACCTTGTCCCCAGCTGGGCTGCTGACTCAGATATGCCAGGCTCCTATGCTATCATTTCAACTCCCAGGCTCAGCTCACTCCAGGAGCCTAGTTGGAGAATGGATTTCCCCAGCTGAAGGACGCTTCAGCTATACCAGTGGAGAAACGGAGGCACAGAGTCCGTGAATGGTCTAAGGACACATGGTAAAGCAATAGCAGAGCAGGGTACACCCCTGGACTCACTCGTGTGGAGTTCAGTGACTCTCTGGGTGATCCTCCCTGGTGCCTGGGACCCAGCTCTATCAGGTCCCATACATCTCAGCCACACACTGGCTCCTGGTGAGCCCCTAAGCAGCTACCCTGTGGCAAAGGCTGCAGCCTCAACAGGGGCCCACTCTTCTTCCATCTCCTTCCTCCATCTCTCCCTGCTGCTGAGTTCTCCTATCAACTTGACACCCCCTCCGGGACTGAGCCCTCCCAGCCAGAGCATCAATGTCATTAGGTCAGCCCATCAGCCCTGGGTAGTCCTCCTCTGCCCTCTGGGTCCTCTCTGATGGCATCACCAGAGTCCACAGATGTCTGACTCCAGCCCTCTCGTTCTAAGGCTGGGGAATCTGAGGCCCAGCCACGGGGGGCGGTGGGTGGGGGGAGTTTGCCCCAGGCCACACCAGGAGTCTGGGTGGAGAAGCAGGAATGCATGCTCTCAGCCCTACATTCCACAGCTGCCCTGCCTCCAGCACCCCCACCGCACCCCCCTCCCCGGGTCACTACGGACAGGGGAGATGTAGCTCTCCCTTCCAGCTGGCTCATCCTGCTGCATCCCTCTATCCTCCAACCTCGGTAGCTGCCACTCACCTCGGGTGGGGGTGGAGGGCTGGAGCCTGCACTGAAAGGCTGGGCTGGTGGGAAGTCCTGTCGGGAAGTGAGCCTGGAGGTGGGATGGCCACCTATATAGGCTTCTGCTCTGGCTATTTTGGGAGGTGGCACTCCCCGTAGCCCCGGCCCCCTCCCCTTCCGGTGTCAGGTACTCCCCAACCGTGGTGCTGGGTGTCTGTATCACATTCAGCCTCCCTGGGCCCATCAGGCCAAGACTATTAATAACTCTTGGCCCCTGCTTCCCTCCAGCACCCAAAATTGAGGCCCAGGCAGGGCTCGCCTCTTCCATGAAGCCTTCCGTGACCACTGTAGATGGCAGCGATGCTTCCTTCCTCCATATTCTGCCAGGAAAGGAAGAGAAACAGCAAGGAAAAGAATGAAACAAGAACTGTCCTCTGTGCATGGGGCTGAGCCCCATTCCTATGCTGATATGATCTCTCACTACAGCCTTGCCAGGTAGACATAGCTGCTCTCGCACAGATGAGGAAACAGCATAAAGACGTTAGATGTTAAGTGACCTGCTGCTCAAAGCCACGGGCCTGGGGTTGGGAGCGGACTCAGCACTTTTGTGCGAGGATCTAGTGCCTGGTAGAAGGAAATGTTCCGCATATTCTCAGACAAGTCCCTTCCTCTCTCTTTCTCAGTCTTTCCACCTGTAACATGAGCTCAATCAGAGGTAAACTGTGCCCTATAGATGGTCTAGGGCGAGGGGAAGATGGACCCCCTGAAATTGTATGCGTGTGACATTGAGGCACAAAGGCCCAAGCCCTTCATGATTTGCAAAGAGATCTCTGACATTGTCTGTTTTGGATTGGAGAGGACCAGCTGAGGGATGTGTTTTGAGAAGCATGAATGACCAAATGAATTCAATAAATACGTAGTGAATATCTAATCTGACCACCATGAAATGTTCCTCTCCTCATCCCTAACCTGAAAAGAATCTCCAGGGCACGAAGATTGTCAATGGTGGGGTCTAGTTCTTCACAGTGACACGAGGAATCCCAGGCTCCATGCAAAGGCTGTTTGGAAGCTCCATGGATAGAAAGGGCCGAGGGCAGGCTGCATGGGGGAAGCTGGGACTGGGGCCTCCTTGAGGTGTGGTGCTGGGGCCTGAGCTAGGTTGCTGGTGGTGGCAACAGGAAGGAGTGTGCAGATAGGGGAGCACCTCTTGGAGAGAAGCTTCCAGAATTGGGGCTGTGGCATGAACAAGAGGGACAAATCCAAGCTGACCCTAAATATTCAAGGTGGGGTTTGCTGAAGAAGGAAGGTGTTGACTTTGAAGGCAGGGAGTGTAGGGAGGAGGTAGTGCTCAGTCGAAGGGATGATAGAGTAAGTGGTGTTGAATCCTAGGATGTTAGGGCTGGGACAGCCTCCGTGGTGATCGGCTACAAACTTCTACAAATGACATCATGTTATAGATGAAGAAACCAAGGCCAGGGTGACTTACCCAAATCCCCCAGAGAGTAGTGGAAGAGCCAAGAGCTGATGCTGGGTTTAGGGGACCTGAAGGACACCCTGGCGGAGATGTGTCTGAACTCTGGAGTGAGGTCAGGGCTGGACCCTGGGGGCTTTGTCATCAGAGAAGTCAAGGAGTTGATCTCGTCAAGTCGTGGGCATGGCTGAGCTCAGGGAGCCGGGATGCAGGAGAACCTTGAGGATGAACCCTTGAGGAAGATCGCTGGCTGGGGCCTGGGAAAATAATTACACTTGTTTGTTGAACAGTGTGCTGGGTTCTGTGTGCACAGCATCGCACTTTGATTCTTGTATCCCCTTAAGAGGTAGGCAAAACCCTCTCTTTTTTACTAATGATGGAAGAACAAGGCTCAGAGAGATTGGGCAACTTGCCTAAGATCACAGAATGGAGGTAGGATTTCAGCCCCGGTTCTCTGACTCCAAAGCACTTGCTCCTTTCTACCACACTATCCTGCTTCCAGAATAAGACCGGAAGACGGGAGCAGCACCTACTGTGGGTGAATTCTCAGGAGCCCAGATGGCCTTCCTCTTTGTCCCCATAGGTCTTCTTCATGTACCTCTAATTAAGCAAATCTGAATGGGCTGAACCATATCGTGTGTGTGTGTGTGTGTTGGGGGGGGGGTGCATTTATTGAGCACCTACTGCGTACCTAGTGCTTTATGTGCTTTATCTCAGACGTTCGAAGAAATAGAATCTCAGAGAGGTTTAGTGACTTACCTAAGGTCACACAGGTAGGAAGTAGGTGGGAGAGCTAGGATTTAAACTGAGCACTTCTGATTCTGGAGGATCTTTCCCCCTACAATACTTAAAGTAGGGTAGAGATGTCCTAAAACCCGAGTCATATATCTGGAAACATGATCTAGTTTTTTTTTTTTTTGTTTGTTTGTTTTTTTGCTCTGAATCTGTGCTGATTGAAGCAGGCTTCATTTTATTAATTTGGTTAATTATACAAGGGCCTTGATGCCAGAAAATGGGTTTATCAGTCAGGTCTGTTTTTGCCTGTAAGTGATGAGAAAGTCTGACTTGGGCTGGCTTAAGACAGTGGGGGATTTGCTAACTCGTGCAACTGAAAAGTCCACGAAGGTTCAAGCATGGTTTGATCCAGAACTCAAATGCTGTCAGGAAGATGCTGTTTCTCTTACTTCTCAGCAATACCTTGTGCCACTCTCTCAAACTGGTTGACCCCTGAGGGTGGCAAGATGGCTGTCCCTGCAATGCTACAAACTTTCAGGTCCAAGTCCTTTGGGGGAAAGGGAGTCTACAGCCCGAGAGTTTGCTCAAAAGTCCCAGAGCTATACAAAAATTAGCTGGGCGTGGTGGTGTGTGCCTGCAGTCCCAGCTACTCAGGAGGCTGAGGCCGGAGAATCTCTTGAACCCGGGAGGTGGAGATTGCAGTGGGCCGAGATCACGCCACTGCACTCCAGTCTGGTGACAGAGTGAGACTCCGCTCAAAAAAAAAAAAAAAAAAAAGTCCCAGAGCTGCATTCACTGGTTGTGATGAGCTCAGTTTGGCCCATGTCATCCCTGAACCTGTCACTATTGATTACAAAGGGAGCACAGGCCTGTGGCACAGGATACCCTTCAGGCTTGGAGGAGGCAGAATGTCAACATCATTGGAATGGCCTGGAGAGGGAGACTGTCCCTGGACAGAGAGGTGAGGGGCTTTGAGCAGTCAAAGCCCACGAAGTCATTGTTGAGGTAAGTCCCTGGGGGCTGCCCAAGTGTGCCAGGCACATGGGAGGTTCATGCCCTAAGTCCTTGGTGAGTGTAATGACAGTTTGCCTGCATCAAACTTCTAGAGCATGATTCACTCTGAGGCCCAAAGTTGCTTTCCTGGACTTAAGTCCCCTCCCACCGACCCAGGCCCATCCTGCTCTGCGTGAGACCTTACAGACTCCACCCGCCTAGGACCTCTGCTTAAAGGCAGCAGCAGTGCCCAGTGGAATTTTCCTCTAGCTTCAGGGTTTCTTACTGTGAGCAGGGAGGAGGACCCTGAGTAGCTAGCAGATGCCGCAATCTCACACTGACGCCCCCTTCTATCCCCTAAAATGAGGCGTGGTCTTTAGCTGATCACGTTCACATAGTTCCAGTAACATATATGTTACCAGAGTGGATCCCACTATCTTTTTCTTTTATACAGATGAAAAGTTTTTACAGATGAACCAAACTGAGGTTCAGAGAAGTCAAGTCACTTGCCCAAGGTCACGCAGTTCGCCAGGACCAGAGCCTGGTCTGTCTGCCTCTTCTCACATCCAGTGCTCTCCCTGATGCCCTCTCTGGCCTCCCAGCTGGTGGAGGGGAGGAGGCCAGTGTGTGCGGGCCAGCAGTCTCTCAGCTGCCGCCTGCCAGGAGATAAGTATTCAGCTGTTAGCTTCGCTGCTGCTATTTCATGAGTTCACACTATTTCCACCTGCTGTGGCTGGGAACAGGATACAGAGTTCCCCACATCCAGGGCCCCGGCAGGCTGGGTGGACATCGCAGGATCTAATGATATCGATGAGATCAGCCCTGTGGGATGATGTGTATTAACTCAAAGGAATCTCGGCTGCATTCCTGAGAGCCGGATCTCAGGAAGCCTGTGGCCTTGTTTCCCTTTCCTCCCCTTACCCATGCTTAAGCACGATTTCCTCCGGAGAGAGCGGCCACAGGGAACACAGTCGTGAGGATGGCAAGGGCAGGCAGACAGACGGCCCTGGGTCCCTGCCCCGGCTCCACCCACTTGCCCACTGTGTGATCCTGAGCCAGTTGGTTCACCTCTCTGGGCCTCAGTTTTTCCACCTGTAAAATGGAGCTAAAGAGGAAGCCGTGGTGAATACTAAATGAGATCGTGTCTGAGAAAGGCTATAAAATCCGACACAAATGATAATAGGGTTGCCATTGTGAGGAGCAGAACTTGATCCTGGCCTGCCCCTGAATGAGAAGACCTGGAATAGCTTTATGGATAGAAACATGGAGAGCCAGGGGTGCCGGCCTCTGAAAACCGCTGACTCTCCAGGAAGGTCTCCAAGGCCAGGACCCAGTGTCCTTGCTGGGGAAATGAGGAGCCACACGGAGAGGAAGAAGGGGAGAATCAGAGAATGTGAATGCTGGAAGGGGCTGGGGCTGGGGGCTCAGACGCACTGTGGTCTGGAAGGGCCTGGGGCTCTGGAAAGAGGGTGGGTTAGGGCTCAAGGGGCCGGGGTGAACAGAGCTCTTGGCCACCTGGGTTTATGTTCTGCCCTGGAAGACTCCACCCCATCCCAGTGCTGCCCAGAGGAACCCTGGGAAGGGGTTACGGCCCCACGTGGACTGGAGTGTGAAAGGG
Source organism: Homo sapiens (assembly GCF_000001405.40). Taxonomy (NCBI): domain Eukaryota; kingdom Metazoa; phylum Chordata; class Mammalia; order Primates; family Hominidae; genus Homo; species Homo sapiens. The sequence continues at coordinate 36,824,230 of NC_000022.11, forward strand.
GAGCAGGGCACCCCTAGATCATGGCTGAGGTCATGGGCTGAGGGCGCAAGAAGGAGGCATGTACTCAGAAGGCCGGAGAGGATTGGAAAGAGGAGGTCTCTAGGTTCTCCCTTCTTGGGTGGTACTGGAGGGTGGGCCTGGAGGAGCCGAGGGAGGAGGCTGGTCCACAGGGCTTGAGAACGCTCGGCCCCAAGGCATCTTCACCCCAGCTCCAAACGTAAAGGGGGTCCTAGATTAAAAAGGTGACGTCCCCTCTCACTGTATCCTCTCTTCCTCAGTCCCCTCCCCATTAGTCCCTCCTGCCCCCATCACTGGCACAGCCCACGCCCTGCAACAGAGTAGAATGGTCCTTGACAGAGGTGTGTGTCCGTGTGTGCCTGCATCTGCGCGGTGTGTCTGTGTGTGGTATGTGTGGTGTGTGTCTGTGTGTGGTATGTGTGGTGTGTCTGTGTGTGGTGTGTCTGTGTGGTGTGTGTGTGGTGTGTGTGTGGTGTGTGTGGTATATGTGTCTGTGTGGTGTGTGTGTATGGCGTGTCTATGTGTGGTGTGTGTGGTATGTGTGTCTGTGGTGTGTCTGTGTGTGGTGTGTGTGGCGTGTCTGTGTGATGCATCTGTGTGTGGTGTGTGTGGTGTGTCTGTGTGTGGGGAGTATGTGTGTGTGGTGTGTCTATGTGTGGTGTGTGTGGGGTATGTGTGTGTGGTGTGTGTGGGGGGTGTGTGTGGTGTTTGCAGTGTGTGTGTGGTGTGCATCTGTGTGTTTCTCTGTATGTTGTGTCTGTGTATGGGGTGTGTGTCTGTGTGGGTTTCTATGTGGTGTGTTTGTGTGTAGGTGTGTGTGGTGTATGCAGATGTGTGTTTGCGTATGGCGTGTCTATGTGTGGTGTGTATCTGTGTGTGTTCTGTGTGTGGTGTGTCTCTGTGTGGTGTGTGTGTGTAAGGTGTGTGTGGTGTATACATGTGTGTTTGTGTATGGCGTGTCTATGTATGGTGTGTGTTTGTGTATGGCGTGTCTATGTATGGTGTGTGTTTGTGTATGGCGTGTCTATGTATGGTGTGTGTTTGTGTATGGCGTGTCTATGTATGGTGTGTGTTTGTGTATGGCGTGTCTATGTATGGTGTGTGTTTGTGTATGGCATGTCTATGTGTGGCGTGTGTTTGCATGTGTGTCGAGGGGGAGGATGACGAGTTTGCATGTGTGTTTTTTCTGTTTTTTTTTCCTTGGAGACAGGGTGCAGTAGCATGATCATAGCTCACCGCAGCCTTGAATTCCCAGCCTCATGTGATCCTTCCACCTTGGCCTCCCAAAGCATTGGGATTACAGGCATGAGCCACTGCACCCAGCCTCCATGTGTTTTTTGGGGACTCCCATCCAGTGCTCTTCCTTGGCTCTTGGGAGGGCCAGTGGCTGACCCTTCAGAGCCATTACAACAATCCGTGTGTGTCCTCTTCAGCATCTGGCTTCTTTGCATCAAAATCAGGCAAGTTCTAATGCTCTGAACTCTCCCATAGCAAACAGGGAAAATCAAGGTCTCACCTCTAACCACTTATCTACACCCCAGTGCTATGGGCTGCCTTTGTTCCCCCCAGATTCCTGTGTCGAAGCCCTAACCCCCAGTACCTCAGAATGGGACTGCATTTGGAGACAGGATCTTTACAAAAGTGATTAAATTAAAATGAGGTGTTGAAAATGGGTCCTAATCCAATATAACTTGTGTCCTTACAAGCAGAGGAGATTAGGACACAGACAAGCACGGGAGGAGACAGCCATTTACAGTCAAAGAGAGGCCTCAGAAGAAAACACCTTGATCTCAGACTTCTGGCCTTGAGAAGGGTAAGAGGATCCATTTCTGTTGTTCAGGCCCGCTCCCAAGCTGGCTAACACACCTGGCGATGGAAAGAGCCTGCTGAGGGCGCATGAAGGAGAGGGTCTCCATTCCCGTGATCACAATGCAGATGCCAGCCCATGTGCTCATGAAAACTCTCAAAATCCTTTGAAACTGTGACATTTCCCTGCTTTAAAAAAATGTGATCATAAATATGCCATGTACTCTTTAAAGAAACAATAGAAAATAGAGGAGCTAAACAGGGCCGGGGGTGGGGGGGCGTGTCACCAGTAATCCCTTGCTACCCAAATACAACCATGGTTACCATTGATTTCAGAGGTTTTCTGCCCTCTCACTCCTGCTGGACTATCTACCTGCTGATCGTCCTTCATGTTTTAGCTTGGGTGTCACCTCTTACCAGAAGTCCTCCTGGGTTTCTTCCCCCTGACCTCGTGCCCCTCCTAGAACTCTGCATTTGCCTCAATAATGGCCTCCTATTATTCTGCTTGTTCTCTCTGTGTTTCCAGTTGCCTTTTCTGCTGGGAGTTTGAAGCACCACCATAGCGTTCAGCTTCTTTCCAGGACGGACTCCAAGGAGAATAAATCAAATGGGGGATATTTTTATGTTTGGCTCTGCGTGTACAGTGGTTCTTCTCTAAGACATTCTTGGATTCCTACTTACAGTGCTGTCGAAATCCATTTATTCACCTGCACTTTAGAGGCACCTGCTGGTGTGTAATTAGTCTTCCAGGAACTGTGACCTTCCCTGGGAACTATAGCCTCCTGTCCCCAGGAATCTTAATTCCTGATCCAAAATGGCAGCTCACATTTCGATAAGGGAGGGTGCTCTGGGGAACAGGGAGCTGGGTATTTGAAACCGGCTGAGCAAATCCAGAATGTACGATCGCTATCTGCCTTGGTGTTCCTTCAGCCAATAGGGGGATGCTTGATGTTGGTACCAATGTAAAGGCCCCAGGTTAATACAGCTAATGTGTTTTAAGGACATTGTTGAACCAGTTTTTTCTTATTAAATATTTATTGCTTCCATCCTGATTCTGGGTCACATTTGACTGAGAAAAAAATGTTTTTAAATTCAGAGGCTGAATCAGTTTGAAAATCCAATAGTTCCCATTTTGTTTCAATACTGCAGACTAACCCACAGCTCATGTTGGGGTTTAGGACCAAGGTTTGCAGAATGACAATGGCTGAGAATTGAGAAATAAACACAAACACCAATCGAGGCAGAGAGGAAATGAACTGAGGCAGCAGAACTGCCCTCCCCCTTTCCTTCCTCCTTCCTCTCCTCCTCCTCCTCCTCCCACCGCTATGTCTCTCCTCCTTTGTTCCTTTCCCTTTTGCCTCCTTGTCTTGCCTTTCTTTTCCCTAAGTCTCAATCATGAATGCTTGGTCTCACAATTCTACAGGATTAGGGGCCCTTAGCCACCAATCCAACCGTCTCATTTTCTAAAGGTTTTCCCTTGTATTACTTTTTAAATTATGGTAAAAGAAACACACAACATTCACCGTCTTAACCATTTGTAAGTGTAGAATTCAGTCCTGTTAGGTATATTCACATTATTTGTCAATCATTACATTTGACAGATGGGAAGCCTGAGGCTCAGAGAGGGCATAAGATGTCCAAGGAAAATGGCAGAGGAGGGACTCACCCAGGCCTGTGGATCTGACTTCTGGGCCCTCAAAGGATGGCAGGACATGTCTAAAGGGATGAGAACAAGGTAGAAGGGAGAGAGAGCAGGAGATGCTGTGTCAACTTTAGACCACAGTGTGAGCTCTACCCTCTCCTCCTCAACTAGAAAATGTGTACAATACTAAATGATGCTCAGTGAAAGAAGCCAGACACAAAAGGTCACACTACATATATGTATGAAATATCCAGACTAGGTCAATCTAGAGACAAAAAGCGGGGGCTGGAGGGAAGGAGGAATAGGGAGTAACTGCTTAATGGGCTTTATTGGAACCAGGTCAATGTGGCACCAACGAATCAAGGAGGGCGTCTGGGAAGAGGTGATGCTCAGGCCTCTTTGATTCCTTCTCCCTGCTCACACACCAGCCTCATGTTCACCTCTGTTTACTAGGATCATTGCTGTGGAACAATTATCCATGGAATTGTCTGCTCTCAACCTATGAGCTTGTTGAGGTCAGCTACTTAATGAGTGTTGAGGTCACTGCATCGTGGGCTGATAAAAATGTTTTGGAACCAGATAGAGTGGTGGTTGTACAACATTCTGCACACTCTGAACCCTGAAGGCATTAGGTGCCACTGAATTGTCTACTTTAAAGTGGTTAATTTTATGTTGTATGAATTTCACTTCAGTTAAAACATCTCCTATTCTCCCCACAAGATTCGTAGTGAATCTGATAGATGACAGCATATCAGATGACCGTCACTTTTACTGATTGTATGAGTCCTTTCTCACACTGCTGTAAAGGCATACCTGAGACTGGGTGATTTCTAAAGAAAAGAGGTTTAATCGACTCACGGTTCTGCAGGCTGTACAGGTTTTTGCTTCTAGGGAGGCCTTAGGAAACTTACAATCATAGTGGAAGGGCGAAGGGGAAGCCAGCACGCCTTACAAGGTGGGAGCAGGAGGAAAGGGTGGGGAGGTGCCACACACTTTTAAACAAGCAGATCTCAGGAGAACTCGATCACAAGACAGCCCTAGGCGGGTGGTGCTAAACCATTAAAGACTGCCCCCATGATCCAGTCAATCCCACCAGGCGCCTCCTCCAACACTGGGGATTGCAATTTGACATGAGATTTGGGTGGGGACCCAGAGCCAAACCATATCACTGATATAGCCATGTGAGTCATATACAAGGGAGACGTTACCTTTTGTTTACCCTGAAGGGTAACATAGACCACTGTGACAATGGCTTGCAGTAATGGCTGGCAGTGACAGCATGCTACTTCCTCTGGCGTTGTCCTGCCTCCTCCCTCCTGTAGGCTTACTGCACCTGCCATTCATCCTGTATGACTCAGCTTAGGCATCACCTCTTCCCAGAAGCCCTCCTTGATTTCTTCTCCCTGCTCACATACCACTCTCATATTGACCTGTGTTTACTGTGATCATTGCTGTGGAGCAATTATCCATGGAACTGTCTTCTCCCAACATGACTATGAGCTTGTCGAGCTCAGGGGCCCTTTCGCAGCAGGGTGGAAAGGAAACTGCGTTGATTTCGGTGCCACATTGACCTGGGTTCAATATCTGGCTCAGCCAACCTGCTAGCTCTGTGACCTTGGGACAAATTACTTACTCTTTAGGAACAACAGTTTCACATCTGAAGAATGAAAATAATATTTTCCTTATGGGGCTGTGCCAAGGAGTCTTGGATGTATTATCACATCTCCTGTGAGTCTTTGAACTTTTGTACGTATTATTATTTGCATTATATTGGTTTTGCTTTTCTCCTAGTTTTGGCCATGTCTGAATATTTTCAAACAATCTCACCAACCATATGAGCACTAGAATGGAAAGAATGTCTTGGCTGTAGGGCAACCTGGTGTCCACTGGGGGTGCCCAGCTGGTGTGGGGTGGGGGGTGAGGAGTAGCTGAGGCAGAGAGGAGATGAGTCCTGGGGGGGTGAGCATTTGGGGTCAGTGGTGACTGCTGCTGTTACACAGTGGAAATGAAAGAATATTCAGTCTCAGCTGCCAGCTCTAGCTGTGTGACACTTGCAGAGAGACTTGACCTCCCTGAGCTTCCGTTTCCACTTCCGTCAAGTGGGACTCCTGAGAGTCCTCCACTCAAGTGTTGTGAGAGTGAAATGAATACATGAATTCAACAACTTAAGCAGAGAGTGGGTCACACAATGCGCCAATAAGAGGCCGCCATACCAGGCAGATCACCATGATTCCCTGCTTGTGTAATATACACACCTTACTGGATAATAATGTCCTGTAATATAAATATACATACATTCAACCTTTGCCAGATTCTGAAAAGATGCTTCAGTAAATGAACTTTCAGTAATGCCAGATTGCTACCCAAATTCTTAAAGTGTGTTGCAGACAAGCAAGCAAGCAAGAAAGAGTTCCATTTCTTGGTGTTGCAGGCTGAAGGGTGAGCAGGTATCAGGTGGGGGAGTGTTGGGAAGGAAGTGATGCCCCCACTTGAATTCAGTCAGACCACACGTCGTGGATCGTGCCCCTCCACCTCCAGATGGTGGGAGGCAAGGGTGAGGAGAGTGACCAGGATTATTCTGCAGGGCCAGGGCAAAGTCCGGTCCCATAGTTGAGTGACCTTGGAGCGAGGGGTAGGTGAGGGCCCCACTGCCCAGGCTGAGGAGCCCTGAGCAAGCAGCTCCCTGGCGACTGCAAATTCCAGGATGGAAGTAGTATTAAAATTCCAGATCCACATGTGATTACAGAAACCTCAGCTGCATAAGCCAAAAACACAGACTGACCCCTGAACTCCCTCCTCTCTCCCTGCCTACACATTGTAATGGAAGGAAACATTCTGCAAATTCTAAACTTACCACTGAACATGAGGAAATGCTCTGACTTCTCGAGTTCAGTTTCCCCATCTGTCAAATGGGTATAACCCACCTACTTTATCCTCCCCCAATCCATTTTTTAAAAAATCTTTAGTTAGTATGAGTGAAGTTTATTTCACTTGCAATGGAAATAATCTTGACTGTGGTAGTCTATTATATCAGTGGTTTCTGATAAACCATGCTTTTAAGTATTCATACCTTTGTATGCTTGCTGAGCTGATAGGATGCGGTTCTAGAAATGTGGGCAGCCATCTTACCCACTACAAAGAGGGAATCTGTTTGAGAAATGAAAAGAAAGATAAAACCCTGATGATATCAATGAGCCCCTCGATCCAGCCATTCCTATAGACAAATGCACACCTGGGCTTTCAGTTACAAAGCCAATAAATCATCCTTCCCCAATCCACTTTTTAAAAAAACCTTTAGTTAGTACGAGTCAAGTTTATTTCACTTGCAATAGAAAGAATCTTGACTGTGGTAGTCTATTATATCAGTGGTTTCTGATAAACCGTGCTTTTAAGTGTTCATACCTTTGTATTGCCACCTTTCCTTGACTGTAGATGGTCCTTGCAACTTGCTTTATTGCCACATTTTCTTGGCTGTGGTTGGGGCTTGCAGCTTGCTTTCAACAATGGAATGGGGTGGAAGGGACACTGTGCCTGCTCTGGTTCTAAGCTTGAAGAGGTCCTGACAGCTTCCATGCTCTTGGGAGCCCAGATATGCCAGGTAAAATTCAGATGCCCTGCTGGAGAGACCATATGGAGATGTCACATGAGAATGAGAGGCCCACAGACCACACAGAGAGATTAAAGCCCAGCTTCCCAGTGTCCTAGCTGAGGCCACCCTCAGCTGATTGCAGCCACATGAGTGACCACAGGCAAGAACAGAAGAAGCACCCAGTTGAGCCCAGTTCAGATTACAGAATTTAGAGAGATGATAAAATAATTGTTGTTTGAAGCTACTATGTTTTGTTGTAGTTTGTTGTAAAGCAATAGATAAATGAAGCACTGGCTCATACATTATGAAGTTGTTGTTAGGACTAAGATAGTGCATGCAAATTGCTTAGCACGGTGACTGGCACAAAGAAAGTGCTCATTAAGTATCAATGATTCTTCTTGTTGTTGATAATAATGATTACAATGATTCTTCTTCTTCTTGTTAATATGATTCTTCTTCTTCTTCTTCTTCTTCTTCTTCTTCTTCTTCTTCTTCTTCTTCTTCTTCTCTTCTTCTTCTTCCTCTTCTTCTTCTTCTTCTTCTTCTTCTTCTTCTTCTTCTTGTTGATATGATTACAACATGTTTGTTGCCTAAATTAGGTCATGAACTCACTGAGGGTGACAAGTGTGTCATATGCATCGCTGTACTCCCAGGATCCAGCACAGGACATGCATATTGTAGGTAGTAGGTCATTGCTGGTTTCAACGAGTGCATGGATGGATGGATGACGGATAATGAACAGAAGGATGGATGGATGAACAGCAAGTGGAAATGTTTGAAAAATGTAAAACACAGAGCTCTATGCAGAGTTTGCCCTTAGCTTGTAATTTTTTATCTGAACGTACTCTAAGTGGAATTCAAGCCAAAGGTTATATGGGCCTTTGACTTGACTACAAGTATGGAAAGACTTTGAATGCAACGGGGACTCAGAGAAAAGTGGAGACCTTCGAAACAGGGGCAGTAAGGGAGGCTTCTCAGAAGAGCCAGATTTGGATCTGGGCCTTGAAAGGCGAGGAGAAGATGGATGGATAAAGAGAGCTAAAGTAACCACTGGGACTGTAGAAATGAATATGGCTATGATTCGGTATCAGTTCATAATTTTCCAGAAAAACAGATCAGCAGAACCAGAGTGAGAATCCTTAATCAATTTAGATTCTGACCCCTGACTCCAGCCCTCTTCCACAAAAACATCTAATGTACCTGTCCATGAAGTCAGACCTACTCTTGAGATTTTTCAGTTCCATGAGCTAGGAAATTCTCCTTTTCTGCTTGAACGAGCCTAAGTTGGTTTTTCTGTGACTTACAACAGAAATGGGCCTATTCCATGCACCCCAGGAAGTATCCTCAGCTCATTTGAGACAAGGCATTCAGAAGCACCATTTGCCCTGGACTTAAAGATCGCTGAAGACATTTTTTTTTTTTTTAAGACAGAGTCTCTCTCTGTCACCCAGGCTGGAGTGCAGTGGCGCGATCTCAGCTCACTGCAACCTCCGCCTCATGGGTTCAAGTGATTCTCCTGCCTCAGCCTCCTGAGTAGCTGGGACTACAGGTGCATGCCACCACACCTGGCTAACTGTTCGTATTTTTAGTAGAGACGGGGTTTCACTGTGTTAGCCAGGATGGTCTTGATCTTGCCGAAGGCTTTTTCTTAATCTCCTAGAGAATGGGAAAATAGCTTGATTACTCTTTCTTTCCCCATTCAAAGCTGGAAGGAAAAAAGTCTACCAGTAGTCTATGGGGGTAAACAACTAGAGTCAGAGATTCTGGGCCTTAAATGCTACCTCTCTCTCTTTGTCTCTGTCTCTGTCTTTCTCTCTCTCACACACACACACACGCACACACACACACACATACACACACACACACACATCTTTTCTCCCAAAGGCTGAATTCTCTCTGATTGGCTTCATCTACATAGAAGGAAGTCTCATTTCTAATTAATTGCTCCCAAGCTTCCGGTTGACAGCTTTGTCACCAGCAAAGGACTGTTTCACTTCCCTTAATTCCAGTTTGAAACATGCAAGCAACAGTGTCTGATGGGCCAGGTTCATGTCAGCTGCTCATCTGTATCAGTCCGCATGGACTCAGTTGTGCTGCAGTAAAAACAATCCCCTAAGTCTCAGGGACTCATCAAAACAAAGGCTTATTTCACACTCACATGAAGTCCACTCTGGATCCAGATGACTTTCCAGGGCAAGTGACCTCCTTGTAACAACTCAACAATCCAGGCTGAGGGAGGCTCCACATCAAAAGGGCAGGAAGTAGAGAGCCCCTCTGAGGCTGGAGGGGAGAAGAATCAGAAATAGCAGTAAGTGGCAGGGTATCCACTCCACCATCCCTGGGTTACTGCCAGGGGTGAAGTTGGAGGGGGACGAGGCTGTGGTGCACCTGTAGCCACTTGGAGTTCACACGTGTGGTGGGGTTGTTTTCAAGGAGAGAGAACTGGGCCAGGCACGGTGGCTCACACCTGTAATCCCACCATTTTGGGAGGCCGAGGCGGGTGGATCATCTGAGGTCAGGAGTTCAAGACCAGCCTGGCCAACATGGTGAAACCACGTCTCTACTAAAAATAAGAAAATTAGCCGGGTGTGGTGGTGTGTGCCTGTAATCACAGCTACACGGGAGGCTGAGGCAGGAGGATCACTTGAACCTGGGAGGTGGAGGTTGCAGTGAGCTGAGATCACACCACTGTACTCCAGCCTGGGTGACAGAGTGAGACCCAGTCTCAAAAAAGAGAGAGAGAGAGAGAGGACTGTTTTAAGCCAGGAAGCCACCCCAAGGGATGCTCATGACATATAGGCAAGACAGCCAACAGCCCACTCAGATTTACCCTGGGTGTGGTAAGTAACAGGGATAATACCCCACATTTCGCATTTCACAGAGGGAACATACAGACCCTAATAAGTAAAGAAACTTCCCTAGACCTCAGAGATAGGCTCATTTTATTTTAAAAATTTAATAGATATGAGATAAAACTAGTATAGTAGAATGGTCATGGCCAATCCACAGCAGTGGGTACATGGTGCTCATTTTAAAATTCTTTCAACTTTTCTGTAGGTTTGAAAACTTTCATAATAAAATATTAGAAAGATTTTAAGTTTAAGTTTATGTTTAGAATAATTAATACATTTATATGCTTCAAAATTCAAAAGGTACAAGAGTTAAACAGTGAAAAGTCTTCCTCTTGCCTCTTCTCAGCCACGCGCTTCCCTCCCCAAAGGCAGCCAATGTTAGCAGCTTCTGCTGATGGCTTTCCTGAGCAGAATATGTGTGTATACAGCAATTCCAAACAGATGCGGTTCTCCCCATTTATAGCATTAGACACTGACATGGTGACAAGGATTTCCTCCACACCAGCTGAATGCTTTGCATGATTATCTCATTTCATTCTCCTAACAACCCTGTAAGGGAGACATCATTATCCCCAGTTTATGGATAAGAAAACTAAAGTTCAGAGGAAACATGAATTATTACAGATCCCATGGATAATAATTGGAAAATCGTTAGGATGTAAACCTAGGTTTTTATTTTATTTTATTTTATTTTATTTTATTTGTAGAAATGGGGTCTTGCTATGTTGCCTAGGCTGGTCTTGAACTCGAGCTCAAGCGATCCTCCCAAAGTGCTGGGATTACAGGCGCCAGCAATCAAGCCTGGCCAGAACATTGATTTTTTTGACCTCAAATCCTGTGCAATGAGCCACCATATCGTCGTACAGGTATGTGGACTTGTACCTTGTCCACAGGGTGTGGGAGTAGAGTCTCATAGATGGAGCAAGAAATGAGAGCTCACACACCACCATGAGAACCAGCGTCTGCTGGTGTTAGAGGCTCCAGCACATCCTAATTTTCCCTGAGCGTCTTTTCCCAGCAATGTCTCTGGAATGGAAGTAGGTACACATGCGTACTTAAATATGTACCTATTTCCATATGGTTACTTAAATATGTACCTATTTCTATTCCAGAGACATTGCTTGGGAAATGTGATAAGTGTCACATCAACTGAATGGGGATAACCAGAAAGTAATGTACCTCCCCCTGCCCTGGCTCTGATGTTGTAGGTCTAGTCCTTTCCCTAGTCCTGGAGGAAATCTTTTTACTCAGGTAATAAAAAGCTTTCCGTGCTGGTGGCCACACATATCTGTCAGTTAGATAACTAGCATGTCCAGTCTTGTTTAATAATCAAAACCCCAAACTCTGTTCAGAGGTAAAGCTTTGCCCCTGGCCTAGCTGGAGCCTGGTGTGAGGGGAACCTGTGGTGGGAAAGGGGGACGTGTCACCACCTTGAGCTTCCAGTGGCAGCCAAAATCCTAGCTGAGTGCAGTCATATGAGTGACCCCAGATGGCACCAGCAGCAGCAAAGCGACTATCCGGCTACCAACCTGAAGAGTCCTTACAGATAATCTACCATTGAAGATTGATGTTTAGGGTGGGTTTTCCATGGTAATAGACCATTGAACTACACCTAACAGTTTCTCTTTAGGGTTGGGGATCATAGTACCCCAAGAGCTCTCTCTAAAGAACAACCTGCATACTTCGACTTCTCTACCTCTGCAATTTTAACCCTTTTATACCTTCCAATGCATGAAAAGCCAAGAGCCATGAAACTGGTTTTTTACCTTCTCCTTTGCAAGTCCAGCATGAGGGGTCTAGAACAGGGCTTAGCAAACTATAGTCTGTGGCCAAATGAGCCATGGCCCACAAAACCTGTTTGCTATCTGGCCCTTTAAGAAAAAAATGTCCCGTTTGAAATATGCAGGCAACAGTGTCTGATGGGCAAGGCTCGTGTCTGGTGCTCATCTGTATCAGTCCGCATGGACTCAGTTGTGCTGCAGTAACAAACAATCACGCAAGTTTCAGGGACTGGAATCTCACTTTGGAATGTGAGAACAGGTGGCAGCTCTTATCATAGACCCTCAGCTAAAACTGAGATGGAAATAATTGCATTATAACAGACCGTTACAGATGTTTGATGAATAGAGCATTCCATGGCCAAATACATTCAAGAAATGCACTGTGGATCACCCCTGTAATCCCAGCCCTTTGGGACGCTGAAGTGGGCAGATTATCTGAGGTCAGGAGTTCAAGACCAGCCTGGTCAACATGGTGAAACCCCATCTGTACTAAAAATACAAAAATTAGCTGGGCATGGTGGCATGAGCCTGTAATCCCAGCTACTCGGGAGGCTGAGGCAGGAGAATCGCTTGTACCCAGGAGGTGGAGGTTGCAGTGAGCCGAGATTGTGCCACTGCACTCTAGCCTGGGTGACCGGGCGAGACTCTGTCTCAAAAAAAAAAAAAAAAAAAAAGAAATACACAATGGAAAAATAAAAGGCAAACAAGATTCTTTCATTGAGCCTTCTCTCCAAGGTGGGAAGAAGAGGCCTGTAACGTCCTATTGTCCTATAGCTCCTGGACCCTTTCAGCTGGAGCATCCCCCGTGACAACTGGGGAACTCCTGTTGCCAGATGCAGGATGGTGGACGTGAGAGAGGCAGCTGGAGCCAGGCAGAGTTTCTCCACCCTGTGTCTTCATCTTAGCCTTTCTGCCCTCTTTCTTCCTTAGAGTTATCTGGCTGTCTGCTCATCTGGTCATAAACCGTTTTGTTCATATTAGGCCATGAGAAATGTGCAGTTCTTGGGTGGGGGGAGATGAGGAGGGAGGCTGGGGATTTTGCTTTTGAAGAATGCAAGGAAAGGACAAAGTTGAATCTAGTGATCTCACTTTCTTTCTCTTTTGTCACCATCAAAGCTGTGATTTGCCACTTAGCCCCCTCGAAACAGTTTCGTGGTTTGCTGGAGTTACTTCTGAGCAGATTTATTTATGATCAGAAGGAATATTTTATACCAGGAGGAAATTAATTCTGCTCAGCCTTCCTGCACATTCCTTTGACATGACAGGCTCCTCTTTTGAGGGCTGTTTTAACCTCTAGCTTCTCCCTTTGATATATTCAGGAGGCCCCAAAAATGCTGAGCCATCATCCTCACTCCTGATGGCCTTGCCATCATTCTGAGAACTAAAAAAGAATTAAATTGCAGTGGAAATGGTCACAGAATGCTCTTTTCTCTTTGGAAAGCTAATGTTAATTTGGAGTGAGATTTATGTAGGAAGCTTAAGGAATCTGTTAAAAGAAACATTGAGTTGATTTTCTAATTGACCACCATGTTGCATTTACATGTGTGACATCTGCAGATGCTCCAATAGTACGACTACACACATAAAGCTTTAGTGATTTGGTGATTGCCAAAAAGGCAGTATTTTTTCTGATTGGCATAATTTCTACCTCCAATTTACTGGAACACTGGGCATGACTGAGACGCCTTTTTAGTGATGTCTGCTGTTCTGCATGTTCAATAAACATAAAATTGAGAGGCTTGGCCATGGTTGTGTATGTGCAGCATCTGTGATCCAAGTGGAATTTAATGGTGGAATTGGGGCTTAACAATGGAATCCTGGGAGTGATATTTGGGCCTCAGGGCCCTTACTCTGCAGAAATGAGTGATGGGGCCTGTATTAGTCCATTTTCACACTGCTGATAAAGACATACCTGAGACTGGACAATTTACAAAAGAAAGAGGTTTATTGGACTCACAGTTCCACATGGCTGGGAGCCCTCAGAATCATGTCAGAAGGTGAAAGGCACATCTCATATGGAGGCAGACAAGAGAAGAGGACTTGTGCAGGGAAACTCCCCTTTACAAAACCATCAGATCTCGTGAGACTTATTCACTATCATGAGAATAGCAGGGGAAAGATGCGACCCCATGATTCAATTATCTCTCACTGGTCTCTCACACAACACATGGGAATGATGGGAGCTGCAATTCAAGATGAGATTTGGATGGGGACACAGCCAAACCATATCAGAGCCTATTCATATGGAGCCGACTCTGTGTGTGTGTGGTGTGTGTGTGTGGGGGGGGGGGGTGGTGTGTGTGTGTGTGTGTGTGGGTGGTGTATGTCTGTGTGTTTGTATGTGCGTGTGGGCAGTGTGTGGGGGCAGTGTGTGTGTGTGTGTCTGTGTATGTGTGTGTGTGTGGTGTATGTATGTGTATGTGTGTGTGTGATGTGTGTGTGGGGGGGTGGTGTGTGTGTATGTGTGTGTCTGTGTGTGTGTGGTGTGTGTGTGTCTGTGTGTGTGTGTGTGAGTAAGGTTGTCAAGTTAGCAACTGGTCAGGCTCCTCCTGGGCTGGTCCCTGCCTGTCTTCAACACCACCTGGGTGGTCCCTGCCTGTCTTCAACACCACCTAGGTGGTCCCTGCCTGTCTTCAACACCACCTGGGTGGCGTGTGTGTCTCACGGCTGTTATGCTGCCTGAGCCTGTGTGTGACTGGAGCAGGAGCTGGCATTTCTCCAGCCCCTGTTGTCCGCCAGGTGTTTTGTGATGCTTTCTAATTGTTTCTCCTGGGAGCCTCCTCGCAAGCTGGTGCTGGGCTGCACTTTTGGCCAGCCTCGGTGTGCTGGCCAGTTCAACTCAGGAGCCTTCAGCACTGAGGGCCAGCCCCAGTCTGCGGTGTCTGCCCAGGACGGCCAGTCCCTGCCAATCCGGCAGGTCCTCAGAGGCCAGGCTGAGCAGCTGGGGCCTTGCAGCAGGACACAGGGTCACAGCTGGACCCAAGCAGAGAGCCTGCTGGGCCTGAGTGTCCAGGTGTGAGGGAAGGGCTTCCTCCCTCCAGAGAACAGGGATGCAGGTTCCAGCCAGGTAGACCTTCCTGCTTTGTGAGTGTGTCCAGAGCAGGGAGAGTTTCACCCACAAACCCAATATGTGACAGGAGCAGCATAGGGCATACCCACTCTGCTCACTCAAAGGATCCCCAGGAGCTGCTCTGGGGTGCCTGAATTCTCACCATCACAGGCTGGAGTGCAGTGGTGCTATCTCGGCTCATTGCAACCTCCGCCTCCCAGGTTCAAGCTATTCTCCTGCCTCAGCCTCCTGAGTAGCTGGGACTACAGGCATGCACCACCATGCCCTGCTATTTTTTTTCTTTCTTTTTTTTTTTTTTTTTGGTAGAGACGGGGTTTCATCACGTTGGCCAGGCTGGTCTCAAACTCCTGACCTCAGGGGATCCGCCTGCCTCGGCCTCTCAAAGTGCTAGGATTACAGGCATGAGCCACTGCGCCCGGCCCATCAGTTCTTTTTCACCATCAATCCACGTCTGACCTTTCCTGTGCCTAAGCTGTCATAGAGGGTAAATGCAAACCAAACACACTTCAGATGGAAAACACCTCACCCTTCTCCCAATTCTCAAACCTTGACTCACTTCCCATAGCACATGGAGGAGAATGCTAGCATCTTCCCACAACTCGCTCCACCTCTCCTCCCACCCAGCCCTTCCTCCTTCACTGCTAGTTGCCCTGCTGGTTCTAGAACATGCCTTGGAACCTTCTCCCCCAGATACCTACATGGCTGTGTCTAGGACCTCATTCCAGTCTCTACACAAATGTCACCTCATCAGAGGCCTTCCCCGGCCACCATGTCCGAAGAGACACCCAGCCCTACCCTCACTTCTCTCTCTATCTGCTTCCCTTGCTCCGAGGCTCTCTTGCTGCTCAACTGTGGATTATACATTCATTTGTTCCTCATTTCTCTCTGTCACGAGAAAGAAAACCTCAGGTGTTTCCCCACTGCCACAACAGTGCCTGTCAATAATTGAGCCCTCAGTAAATACCTGTAGAATGAAAGGAAGAATCTTTTCAATGGTGGAAGTAACTCAATACACCCATGGTCCTCCAGTGGCGGGACCCTAGTGCTTCTGAGGGAAGGAAGATGCTGCTGTGGCCAGATTCCAGGAGGGAAGGGAGAGCATGACCCCCAGCCCTCAGGACAGATGGGGCGTGGCTGCTCCCACCATGGCTCACTGAAGTGCATCTGATACACCGTGTTTGCCACTCCAAAGTTTAATTTAGCTGATGTCTTGGCTGTGAGCAACAGCTGGTAAATTTAGTTGGGGGATTAAGAAACGTATAAGATGCATAGCTCCTTAAAAGGAGCTGGATGTCAGGGGAAAACGAAAGCCAGGTGCATCCTGAATTTGGCTGTGAAAGGCGGGGCAGCCACCTTCTTGGAGCAGGCCAAGGGGCTGTGTTTGCTGAATCTTCTGAGGGGCGGCATCTCCACATGGAGGTGGCGGAGGGCGAGCCTGGGGACACATCCAGTGGCTGCCATGTCACCTAGCCACCCAGGAAATTCCTTCAACCTGCTGGCAAGGATAGGGACAGCTCTGAAGACATGAGTCTGCCCAGAAACCATAAACAAATAGATTGACAAACATTACTGTAGCAAATTAAAACTTGTGTGAGAGTTAAAAAAAAATGCCATGGACCAAGTTCAAAGCAAACAACAAAATGGCCAAATAATACTTTCAGACAAGTGCTAGAAAAAAGACCAATGCTGTTGATTTACAAATAGCTCATAATCAATAAGAAAAAGATGAACAGTCCAATAGAAAGGAGGGTCCTAAGGCACAGACAGGAGGCCAATAATACAAATGCAAAATACAAAAGGCCAATAAATGTATGAAAATATACTCAGCCTCCTCTGCCATCAGAGAAATACAAACCAAAATCAGAGACTTTTTTAACTTATCAGATGGTCAAAAATGTTTAAGTACAGTTGTATTCAGTGATGGCAATGAATTAAGAAAATGTAAATTTCTATTTTAGGAGGGAAATTTTGAGATTTCCATCCAAATTAAAAATGCACATGTGGCTGGGCATGGTGGCTCACGCCTGTAATCCGAGCACTTTGGGAGGCCAAGGTGGGTGGATCCCTTGAGGTCAGGAGTTCAAGACCAGCCTGGCCAACATGGCGAAACCCCATCTGTACTAAAAATTCAAAAATTAGCCGGGCATAGTAGCAGGTGCCTGTAATCCCAGCTACTTGGGAGGCTGAGGCAGGAGAATTGCTTGAACCTGGGAGGCCGAGGTTGCAGTGAGCTAACACCACTGCACCCACAGTCCAGCCTAGGTGAAAGAGCAAGACTCCATCTAAAAAAAAAAAAACAAAAGAAAAAGCTGCACATGCCCTTTGTTCCAGCAATTCCACCACTAGGAGGTAAGCCTCCAAATATTCTTTTATTTTTAATGTATTATATGACTTTATTATATGAATAAATGTATGAATAGTCTCCCAAATGAATGTTCATTTCAAAATACAAGCACACCTCCTTTGATTGGGTTCTGCTTTGTTGCACTTTGCAGATATTGGATTTTTCACAAATTGAAGTTTTGTGGCAACCTTGCACCCAGGAAGTCTATCGGTGCCATTTTTCCAAGAACGTGTGCTCACTTCATGTCTCCGTGCCACATTTTAGTAATTCTTGCAATATTTTCAGCTTTTTCATTATTATGATATCTGTTATGGTGGTCTGTGATCAGTGATCATTGATGTTACTATTGTAATTGCTTTGGGGCTCCATGAGCCATGACTATGTAAGATGGCAAACTTAATCGATACATGTTGTGTGTGTTCTCACTGCTCCATGGAATGGCCATTCCCTCTCTCTCTCTCTATTCCCTGAGACACAAAGGTATTAAAATTATGCCAGTTAATAAGCCTACAATGGCCTCTAAGTGTTTAAATGAAATGAAAAGTCCTGTCTCTTACTTTAAATCAAAAGCTAGAAATGGTTCAACTTAGTGAGAAAGGTATGCCAAAAGCTGAGATAGGCCAAAAGATGGGCACCAGACAGTTAGATCAGTTGTGAATGCAAAGGAAAAGTTCTTGAAGGAAATTAAAAGTTCTACTCCAGTGAGCGCACGAATGATAAGAAAGTGAAACAACCTTATTGATGATATGGAGAAAGTTTGAGTGGTCTTGATAGAAAGTCAAACCAGCCACAACATTCCCTTAAGCCAGAGCCTGATCCAGAGCAAGGCCCTACTTGTCTTCAATTCTGTGAAGGCTGAGAGAGGTGAGCAAGCTTCAGAAAGAAGCTTGAAGGTAGCAGAGGTTAATGCATGAGGTTTAAGGAAAGAAGCTGTCTCCATAACATAAAAGTGCAAGGTGAAGCAGCAGGTGCTGATGGAGAAGCTGCAGCAAGTTATCCAGAAGATCTGGCTAAGGTCATTGATGAAGGTGGCCACACTAAGTAAGATATTTTCCATGTGGATGAAACAGCCCTCTGTTGGAAGAAGATACCATCTAGGACTTTCATAGCTAGACAGGTGAAGGCAATGCCTGTTTTCAAAGCTTCAAAGGACAGGGTGACTCTATTGTTACGGGCTAATGCAGCTGGTGACTTTAAGTTGAAGCCAGTGCGCATTTACCATTCTGAAAATTCTAGGGCCCTTAAGAATGATGCTAAATCTACTCTGCCTGTGCTCTATAAATGGAAAAATAAAGCCTGGATGCAGTACATCGGTTTACAGCATGGTTTGCTGATCATTTAAACCCACTATTGAGACCTATTGCTCAGAAAAAAAGATTCGCTTGAAAATATTACTGCTTATTGATAATGTACCTGGTTACCCAAGGGCTCCGATGGAGTACAAGGAGATTAATGTCGTTTTCATGCCTGCTAACACAACCATTCTGCAGCCCATGAATCAAGGAGTAATTTCAACTTTCAAGTCTTATTATTTAAGAAACACATTTTATAAGGCTACAGCTTCCATAAACAGTGATTCCTCTGATGGAGGTGGACAAAATAAATTGAAAACCTTCTGGAAACGACTCATTGTTCTAAATGCCACTCAACATATTTTTGATTCATGGGAGGAGGTCACAATATCAACATTATCAGGAGTTTGGAAGAAGTTGATTCCAACCCTCATAGACGACTTTGAGGAGTTCAAGACTTCAGTGGAAGAAGGAACTGCAGATGTGGTAGAAATAGCAAGAGAACTAGAATTAGAAGTAGAGTCTGAAGATATGACTGCATTGCTGCAATCTCATGATCAAACCTGAATGGATGAGAAGTTGCTTTTTTATGGATGATCAAAGAAAGTGGTTTCTTGAGATGAAATCTACTCCTGTGAAGATGCTGTGAATATTATTGCAATGACAACAAAGGATTTAGAATATTCCATTAACTTTGTCGATAAAGCAGCAGCAGGGTTTGAGAGGACTGATTCCAATTTTGAAAGAAGTTCTACTGTGGGCAGAATGCTATCAAAGAGCGTCACGTGCTACAGAGAAATCTTTCTTCCAAACTCCTGTTAATGTTGATATTTTGTCTTGCTTGGTGATGGTGATGATGATGGCAATGATCATGGTGGTGATGATGATGATGGTGGTGGTGGTGATGAGGATGGCAATGGTGGTATTGATTATGGTGACGATAGAGGAGGAGGAAAAAGACCAGGGGCAGAGGAGGGACCAACACAAGAGAAGAATGAGAAGGAGGGGAAAAAAGGAAAGACCAACTGGAAGCTAGGATTGCCAGGCACTTTAGAGTCATAAGCTGATTCAATTCTTCTAATTATGCCATGAGACACAGAGTAGCCATCCCCCATCTGAATTTTATGATTGAGGAAACAGAGGTCAATGTTGTGAGTCGTCTGAGGTCTCCCAACATACAATAGTAGAGCCAACATTTGAACATTCAGCTCTGAAGATGTCTTTCTAGTTCCATGCCTTCTCACAGCGCCTAGCACAGTGTTTGGTACGTAGTAGTGCTCTTAGAATTTATTTCTAGAGGAGTTTGTATCTCAAAATTAGGCTTTGGGAGTTGCCGCAAGGTTTGTGGCCCATTTCTTTGGGAGTCCCCAGAGTGTGTTGGTTATTAAGCTGTCATCTCATATAAACCCCCGATCCACCCTCCCCCGTTCAGCTCCCAGTCTAAGGCTGGGATTCTGCAAACCCATTTCCGCACTGCCAGCTCCCTCCTGTTAGGCCCTGGCACTGGTGGGTGCTAGAGGGAGCCTGTGAGGCTGGAGGAGAAGAGCCTCGTGCTTTCCTTCCCACTTGCCCATCCGCTGAGCATCCCCTCAGCTTCACTTATTCACCCCAGCACTGGTCCCTCACCCTGGCAGCAGCACTTAGTTACCCCCTCTAGTTTTTTCTAGAACCCTCCAAATCAGCCCCATCACACTCCCTCAAGATCTGAGGGTCAGCTGGCCAGTGTTCCCTCCTCAGCCATCCACATCCCAGCTTGTGCAGTCTCTTTTTGGAATTTCCGGGTTCTGTTCACCACCACCTCTCCCCTTTGTTCTGACAGCCCTGGGGGCAAAGTTCCTTCCTGAAGTTACTATCTCTAGGCATCTCACTTAAGTCCCCCATTGCCTTTTCAGGCCCAGAGACCTGTCTAACCAATTCCCTATAGTAAATTCCCTCTGTTAAAGTAACTGGTGTGTGTGCTTTCTGGTTTTGACTGGGTCTTGACTGATGCATGAGGTCAATTTGATTTGGGACAGTAACCATCCTTCAGATCCCACTCTTGGGGAGAAAGAGGGACAAGACAGAGAGAGAGAGAGAGAGAATGAATCAGACTAACACCATTTTGCATCAAAAATAAGGCTTGCCCATGAATAAATAAATGGATTTTACAACTTACTTAGCCATCTCTTTCCTGTTGGTTTTTGCTTCCTACTTTTACAACCCTGACAGGCAAGGCTGTGAGTGCAATGAAGCGAAGTCCTCGGAGTCTGGATTTGACCCCTTTCAGCACTTCTACTCTGGTCTCAAGGACCAGAGAGGGGAACTGCTATCCCTTTAATGTTCTGGCCCAACCAGGGCCACAAACTCCTTCCTGGATTTATTCTTGGAATATCAAAGTCAGACTGCAACTGTCAAAGTGCTTTAGTAAACTCTAAGGAAAAACAACTAAGAAAATGCAAAGAGGGCATGGATGTAAGCAAGTCTTCCTGGTGCTTGGAACCTGTTTGCACCCTGTCCTTCAAGAGAATCCACAGAAACATGGCTTTCCGGGGTCCCTCACTGACTAGCTCCTGGGCTGCTTCCCTGAGAACAGCGCCATTTGCCACCTATTTCCAGGGCTTCGTTTCCTGATCCTATTAGTGCCGAGAATGCTGAGAATGTTAAGTTAGCTCATTGATTAATTCATGTATTAATTCATTTAACCACCCTATGAGATAGGTACTCCTCTTAGCCCCATTTTACAGATGACAAAACTGAGCCACAGAGGCTATGTAACTTTACTAAAGTCATTCAGCTGGTAAGTAGGACGCTGGAATTTGAACTCAACTAATCTGGATCCAGAGTCTTCCTCTGATCAAACCTCTCCATTCTTTCTCAGGGACATCCCTCTTCTCCAGGTGGCTCGCTCTGCGGGGGCATGGCCTCACTCTTGTATACTTCCATTGGCCAGAAGCTTATTCCTTAAAAAGACAGTCTGGATTATTAGAAATTTCTTTATATTGAGCCTGCATTTCCTTTCCAGTTGCTTTTAGCCCCATTTCTGGGATTTCCCCTTGAAGACACAGATTAAATTTACATTTCTTCAAAGCCAACATGAGTCTCTTTCTGAGTTCTCTCCTCTTCTCACATTGCCTATGTTCATCTGACTCTCTACCATCTTCTAGTAGTGTGACCTTGGACCAGTCACTTACACACTCTTTGCCTTTGTTTCCTTGTCTGTAAAGTGGAAACTGAATGAACACACACCTCGCTGGGTACTTTATCCAAAAGCCCCTGGAGCAGTGCTGAGCATACAATATTGTTCTGCAACCTTAACCTGCCCAATCATTCGAATGGGGATAACTGTTAAGCTTTGCTTGGTACATGGTATGGTTGTGTGGAACCAGCCACAGACCTGTGATTCTGCCTTTTTTTTTTTTTTTTTTTTTTGAGAAGGAGTCTCACTCTGTCGCCAGGCTGGAGTGCAGTGACACGATCTCGGCTGACTGCAACCTCCGCCTCCCGGGTTCATGCAATTCTCCTGCCTCAACCTCCCGAGTAGCTGGGACTACAGTCTCCTGCCACCATGCCTGGCTAATTTTTGTATTTTTAGTAGAGACAGGTTTCACCATGTTGGCCAGGATGGTCTCGATCTCTTGACCTCGTGATCCGCCCACCTCGGCCTCCCAGAGTGCTGGGATTACAGGTGTGAGCCACCGCACCCAGCCGATTCTGCTTTCTGTCTGTCTATCTCCACTGTCCTCCTCCTTAGACCCTATCAGCCCTGCCCTGAGCTCACCCTCAGCCCAATGACCAGCTTCTAGTCTTGCTCAGCTGCAACCTCTCTTCCCTTCAGCATCCACGGTGTTCTTGGTAAAACACAAACCTCACCCAGTATCTCCTCTGTTCAGATCCTTCCCACACCTCTCCTGGCCTGCCTGATAAAGTTCAAATTCCATGGCTTGACTTATAAGGCCCTCCTTGGTCTGTCCGCTGCTGATCTCCTGGCCTCTCCTCTCCTGTTTCTCCCCTCCTGCTTCATCTTGAGCCAAACGAACCAGCTCCTGGGTCTCTGAGCCTTGCCTGACTTTGTGCTGTACCTGCTTTGTGTCTGAATCCCCAGGGCCTAGCACTGTGCCTGGCAACCATCCGGGGCTCCGTAAACCTTGGCTGGTGTGTGATGCCGAGAAGCGAATGCTCTGTAAGCCACTGCTGCATCCGTGGCAGTTCATGCCATGATTTTTTCCAGGGGTCATAGTCAAAATGATTGTCTGATCCAGAGCAGTGTCCATGTGGCCCCCAGATGTGCCCAGCATTAACCATTTAGGTGATGGGCATGAGGAGGTTCTGGGCATGCCATGGGGAGGGGGAGGGGCAGCACAGGTGCTGGGAGGCAGTGGATGGAACCAAGTGCTACAGATGCACGTCCACGTTTTAACAACTAGTACAGCTCCAACGTTCCCTCTGGAAAGCGCTTTCTTCCCCTGGGTCCCGTTTCCTTCCTTTCTCTCCCCAGCTTCCCCAGGCCTTGCCCTGTTGCTCTGCCAGCCACCCCAGCACAGCCCTCTCAGAAGGCTTTTATTTTGAAGCCTGCATAGGGCCTTTGGTGACCTGTTTTCCCCAGAGTTTGCCCACAGGGCTTGGAAAGCCTCTTTTACCACATGGCACTGTGCACACCAATCTGGCCTGGTTCTTTTTGCCTAAAGATCCCTCATCCCCAGGACCTCCATTTTCAGGATGGGGACATGGAACACGGAGCCCATGGCATATACCAAACAAACAACATTGAATGGCATGTAAAACAGTGGTTCACCACATGACACCTTCATTCAAATGGGCTTGCAGATTGGCTTAGCCTGTGAGAGGACAGGTGTAGGACTGACAGCCCTCGACAGATGGGAGCCAGGTGACCTCCCACCAGGGGTCTTCATCCGTCAGGTAGGACCAGCATCTCCAAGTGCGGAATCCCCTCTCCTATGTGGCTGTTGCTTCATGTTTTTTCATGGCACCCAATGGGTTAGCTTGTTGGTTGCTCATGTAGTCCGTAGAAAGCCATCTTTGAATAGGTGACAAAGTTTGAAATGTCTGCAAGGGAACCAGCAGAAAGTGGTTGAGGTGACCCTTCCATGGGGGGAGTCTCTCTACAAGGGTGTATCCGTGTGGAGCTTTGGCAGTTCCGAGCCTCCGTTCCCTCCTGTATGACATGGAAGCTGTTGCCACCAGCAGCACTGCATGGGCAAAGGGAAAGTACCTGGCCAGCCCAAGGTCCCTTCTCCTGGGTTCTCATCAGGTTCCAGTGTCCCAGGCCATGTGATGGAGGCGAAGCTAGGGCACCCTCTGGAATGAGAAGCATGAAACTCAAGTCCCAGCTCATCTCTGTGACGTCCAGCAATTCATTCCCTCCAAGCTCCAGTTTCCTCATCTGTGGGAGGAATACTGTAAAGAAAAGAAAAAAATACATATTGCAAACTTTCAAAAGTGAAATGCTTATTCTGGTGCATTCCTGGGGGAGAAGGGAGCAGATGACTTCCAAGTTCAGGAAAATACCTTGATTCATTTTGGTGTTGTTTTTGCTGAAAAGGAGAGGCCTTCTGGGAAAAGTCTGGATAAAAGACAGTTGCACATACAGAAAGCAATCAACTACTTTGTGGAAAAAAGTTACAAGCATTGGTCTCTCCTCCCTCCTGAGCCCTTGTTGACATAGAAAGAAAAAATATCTATATCTATATCTATCTATCATCTATCTATCTCTATATGTATATGTATGTATGTGTATATAAAGGATAGTCCGTCAGTCAAGGACAAAGAGAAGAGAAAGAGCATCAATGGATGTGAGATGGTAATACACTGTGGAAGGCGGGATTTGCTTCGAGGAAAGGTAATATATTCAGAAGGGCAGCAAACCTACACAATGGTCAGGTGTGGTGGCTCAGGCCTGTAATCCCAGCACTCTGGGAGGCCCAGGCGGGTGGATCACCTGAGGTCGGGAGTTTGAGACCAGCCTGACCAACATGGAGAAACCCCGTCTCTACTGAAAATACAAAATTAGCTGGGTGTGGTGGTGCGTGCCTGTAATTCCAGCTACTCAGGGGGCTGAGGCAGGAGAATCGCTTGAACCCGGGAGGTGGAGGTTGCAGTGAGCCGAGATCGTGCCATTACACTCTAGCCTGAGCAATAAGAGCAAAACTCTGTCTCAAAAAAAAAAAAGAAAGAAAGAAAAGAAAAAGAAAACCTACATTACGCAGAGCGGAGCACCAGTGAAAAGAAAACCAATGAGCTCAGACCCGCCCCCGCCCCCCACCCCCCCGCCACAGGGTCCCCAAGGTGAGGGGAGCAGGTGGAGAGGACGACGGGGGTGCAGTGAGAGCCAGCAGCCCGGGGCTTATCCTTGAGCCTTCTTCGGGAAGTCGATTCTCTGAGGATGGCAGAGAGGAGAGTCTCAGGACACCACGGCCACCAGCATAGCGGAGGCCTATGAGTGCCCTACGGAGGGGCATGTGCAGAGCCCCTCATCCCCTGGTCATCCCTACACCTTCTGCCCTTCCGTTAGAGTCTGTAGATAGGGTTTTCGGGGGATAAGGGGCAGGTCCACGCCCTACAATGCAGGGCTCCGGGAGGTAGGGGTTTCAGATGGGAGTGTGTGGGGGCAGAGGAACAAGGGGAGAAAAGACCCTTTCCCTCCCTCATCAGAGAAGAAGAAGACTTTTGGAAAGACCTGGGAGGGGTGCTGGAGAAAGTCTAGATCCTGCTATTAAGTGGAAGGGGAAGTGGTCTGAGCATCAAACTTTACCCTGAGGCTGAAGCCCCTTCTAAGATCGTTGTGAAGCCCATTCTAAGATTCTAAAGATCACCTCGTGATCTTTCTTATCGTCCCCAGGGCTCCAGGGCACCCACCATAACACTCCTAATTCCATCATCTTAAGCACTTACTGTGTGCCAGGCAGATGTTCCATTTCGAACCCTTGTGATACCTTTCTAGTGGATGGCGTGTGGAGTCTTTAAGGAGAACTAGGAATTGGTTAAGCAGAGATATTGGGGGTGGGGGGTGGAGGCACTGGAATATGCAAAGGCCTGGGCACATTGGGGCTTGAGGGACCACCTGCCCCAGTAGTTTTAGCTGGGAGAGGAGAGGAATGAGTCTGGAGTTAGGCTGGAGCCTGGCTGAATGAGAGCGATATGGACTCGTTTTCTTAGCCACCGTGAGGCCTGGAGGGATGGGATGTGTGGGGTTAGTCATATTCAGGAAAGGCCTCCCAGGAGCTGGTGTGGATGACAACCCGCAGGACGGATGGAGGACAAGACCAGGTGGGCCACTGTTGAAATTATTCAGGCAGGAGAGGAGGAAAATCTGAATTTAAGCCCAGGCTGTAGGGATGGAGGAGGAGAGGCAGTTAGAGGGAACTTAAGGAGGTGAAATACATTCCTGACAGATCGGCTGTGGCAGGCCAAGGAGACAGGAAGGCCAAGGTGACTCCAGGTTTCTGTCTTCCGTAAATGGTGGAGACAGAGCTCAGGAGGAGGGGCCGCTGTGGAGGGAAAGGAACCACTGGCTTGGAGGGGCTCGGGGAACAGCTAGGGAGAGGTAGGGGGTCCAGGAGGCAGCTGGGACACACGGCCTGGTGCCCAGCGAGCGACCGCAGAGTCCTCGGTGTGCAGATGGTAACAGAGCGCTCGGGAGTAAGGAAACCCCCACTCAGAGTGCATGCTGGGGAAGGTGGCTGAGGTTGGAGAGGCATCTGGGAGGAGCCCCAGTCACAGAGGAGAAGCGGTGGGAGCAAGTGGCACAGGGGTTGGGGGAGCCGAGGCAGCATTGTGGGTGGTAGGTAATAGCAGAGGCCAGGCCAGGCGCAGTGGCCCACGCCTGTAATCCCAGCACTTTGGGAGGCCAAGGCGGGTGGATCACCTGAGGTCAGGGGTTCAAGACTAGCCTGGCCAACATGGTGAAACCCCGTCTCTACTAAAAATACAAAAATTAGCCGGGCGTGGTGGTCCACGCCTGTAATCCCAGTGACTCAGGAGGCTGAGGCAGGAGAATCACTTGAATCCGGGAGGCAGATTGCAGTGAGCCAAGACTGCGCTACTGCATTCCAGCCTGGGAGACAGAGTGAGACTCCGTCTCAGAAAAAACAAAAACAAAAAACAAATAGCAGAGGCCACAGCTGCAGAAGGACCCCAGGTGAGGGCTGGGGACAGGAGTACACTGAGGGCTGTGGCTAGGAGGTCACAGCTGGGAGCAGGTGGCCGAAGGGCCAGGAGCTGAAAGGCCAGTTACAGAACTCCCAGGACTGCGTGTTACAAAGCTCTCTGGTTCCTGGCTGTGCAGCTCCGAGAGAGTGGGGCACCCTGGGCAGTCGTCGCCACACTGTGGGCATGTAAGAGGGAAAGCTCTCCCCTTAACGTAGAGGGCAGAGCTCATGAGGAGCGAGAGATGCTTTTATTTCAATCACCTGGGTCCTGGCCTCATCCGGCAAGAGGGCAATGTCCGAGATCAAAAGCCCAGTCCTACTGCAAGTCTACCCACTTGCTTTGTCTCCTTCTTCACTCTCGGCCTCCATCCTCCCCTCTTTTTCTCCCTCCCTTCCTCCCACAAACCCTTATTGGTCCTGTTTTGGACACTGGTGATTCATAGATGAATGGGACATGGTTCTTGCCCCCAAATGTGCCCATGCTATGGAATCTTCAGCAGGAAGAGGTGAGAAGTGAAGACGCTGACAGAGGCTGGAATTAAAGTGACAGCTCTAGCTGGGGAGGGTGCTGCCCCAGCCTTCCAGGGAAGTCTTTGACCAGTTTTGAATCTTAGGTGATGCAAAGAATCAAATGGATGAAGAAAAGCCATAAAATCATAGAGATGGGAGGAAGACGGGGAGAATGCATCAGGAGAGGTCAAGTTGATGTACAGGACAATGAGCAGGCAGAGGAAGGGAGGAAGGCATGTCCTGGGGCCCGGGCTGGAGGGAGGGTGCGGGTGGGTGAGGGGCTTCAGAGTGCTGCAGCGCAGAGGAGGGAGGAGAGGGCTGTGGAAAGGGGAGGTTGCCATTCCTTTGTAGTTAATATTTGGAGGCACGACTGATTTTTGAATATAGTTTCATGCAGATGCTGGTCAGCCTGGAGCCACACTTTTCTGCTGGCTGTAGATTTTTCCCCTTTTGATGCCTTTAGGAAAATCAAATTCCAACATGTCTGTGCTGGATAAACTGCAGCTAGAGGAGCCCTCCTTTCCTGGGGCACTTTCAAAGGCAGTGGCATCTTAGCAGCATCAGGAACCAGAGGTAGACCCTCAGGGAGGAGGCAGCCCTCAGGCAGCTGCTCTGCCTCACCCCTCACCCAGGATTCACCTTCCTGAGCTCTTTTTAACTGTCGCAAGGTAGTCTCTTTGCTGTTAACTCTGGTGCAGCGTCCACACAGACCTGCTTGCTTTTATAAATAAAGTTTTATTGGAAGATAGTCATGCACATTCAACTATTTATTGTTTATGGCTGCTTTTGTGCTGTGACAGCAGAATTCAGCAGTTGTGACAGAGACCAACTCCCTGCAAAGCCTAAACTATTTACTATCTGGCGTTTTTTAGAAATTATTTTTCAGCTGGGTGCAGTAGCTCACACCTGCAATCCCAGCACTTTAGGAGGCTGAAGCAGGTGGATCACTTGAGGCCAGAAGTTTGAGACCAGCCTGCCAACATGTTGAAACCTCATCTCCACTAAAAATACAAAAATTAGCGGGGCGTGGTGGCAGATGTCTGTAATCCTAGCTACTCAGGAGGCTGAGGTATGAGAATGGCTTGAATCCGGGAGGCAGAGGTTGCAGTGAGCTGAGATTGCACCACTGCACTCCAGCCTAGGTGACAGAGCGAGACTCCAACTTAAAAAAAAAAAATGAAAGAAAGAAAATGAAAAGAAAGCATTTGCCAATCCCTGCTCCAGTGTACTGGGTAGGGTACAGGTTCAGCTGCTGTAACAAGCATCAAAGAATCAGCTGCTAAAACACAATAGAAATTTCTTTCTCCCTGAAAAATCTGAACAGAAGCAGGGTCAGAGATCCAAGCTGTTTTGTTGCTTAACTGTTCTCCATAGCTGGCCTCTCCAGCCAGCTGGAAGGGGAGATGGGAAATGGAAGATACACCTTCTGTCTTTCACGACACAGCCTGATAGCATGTCCATGGCCTCCCCTCCCATTCTATTGGCCAGCAACTGGTCACATGGCCACAGGGAGCTGCAAGGTAGGCTGGGAAATGTTCTCTTTAGCTGGGTGGCCATGAGTCCAGCCACAACTCAGGGACTTTATCACTAAAGGAGAAAGGACAGAGTGGATCGTAGGGGATATTAGCAGTCTCTGCTACACCTTATCAAGAAGAATAAAGACAGAGTGCACAGGGGAAGGATTTGGCATTCCCTGCAGAGTATTAGAAAAAAATTTGTAACATGCTCAAATGAAGTAGGTATCAATAACGGATATAAAATACCTCCTTCTTCCACTTCCTCCCTCAAATATTTATTAAGCCCTCATTTATATTAGGCTCTATTTGGATGCATTTTGCAGATAAATAACCTGAAGCTCGGAGTGCTTGAGGGAGATGTCTGAGAGTTCATAGCCAAAGAGTGAGAGCTCTTTCTGCCTTATTGCCTTGCTTCCCTTGGGACACCCTGGGGCTGGGAGCTGGGCCTTGCAGCCTGCTAGGCTGGCTAGGTTTGGTGACACAGAAAGCAAATGAATAATTTTTAAAGTGAGAATTCTATAAAGGAGACTGCTTGAACAGATTCTGTTAGACTGAAAAGGCAGAAGGAGACACCGAGGTCACCAGAGATAGAAACTTCAGGAAGCAGCCATCACCCCTGCGGCTGTGGGAACGGAAGGAAGAGAGCGGGGTTACGCTAGCCTGGAAGCTTGGAGGAGGAGACTTAGACCTGCGGGGAGGAGCTGGGACTCAGAACTGCAGACCTCTGAGGAGGGGGTGGGGTGAGACTGGCTCTGGGAATGTGAAAAAAACTAAAACCTAGAATCAACTGCTGCTGGGCCAACATGGCTTCCAGGGCAGGGCAGTTGGGTCCCGCCTGCAAAGAGAAAGAAGCAAGCCCCTCCTTCCTCTCCCATCCTTCCGGCCTCCCTCCAGCGCCCCCTCCTGGCCAAGGGCAGCGGAAATCAGCCAGCAAAGCAGAACAAACAGGGTTTTGAGTCCCAGCTCGGGCACCACAAAGCAGAGGGTAGAAGAAAGGTTTGGAGCTGGGAGAAAATCATTTAATAACCAGCCCCAAGGCTATGACTCATTTAGACCCCCAGTCTGTGCAGACCTGGGGCCACTGCCTCTGAGCCAGTGCACACCGGGTACTCTGGAGCCTCTGTCTTCTGATACATGGGTCAGGGGGAATGCAAAATGATTCAACCACTTTGGAAAACAGTTTCCTTCTTTTTGTTTGTTTGTTTGTTTGTTTGTTTGTTTGTTTGTTTGTTTTTAGACCGAGTCTCGCTCTGTCGCCCAGGGTGGGGTGCAGTGACGCGATCTCAGCTTGCTGAAATCTCTCCTGGGTTCAAGGGATTCTCCTGCCTCAGCCTCCCGAGTAATTGGGATTACAGGTGCCCACCACCATGCGTGGCTAATTTTTGTATTTTTAATAGAGATGGGGCTTCACCATGTTGGCCAGGCTGGTCTCGAACTCCTGACCTCAGGTGATTCACCCACCTCGGCCTCCCAAAGTGCTGGGATTACAGGCGTGAGCCACCACACCCGACCTGGAAAACAGTTTTCCTATAAAGTTAAATATGCATCTACCATATGACCCAGCAACTCTCTCTTAGATATTTACCCAAGAGAAATGAAGGCACATGCTCACTCAAACATTTATGCTTGATGTTTGTAGCCCCTTTGTTTTAACAGCCCCAAACTGGAAAACAAAAAAAAAACCCTAATGTTTATGAACTTGTGCATGGAAAACAACTTATGTTATATCCATACAATAAAATACTACTTGACAATAAAAAGAATGAATACCGATGTACATATCAACACTCATGAATTTCAAAAGCGTTATACTATGTGAAAAAAAACAGGCACAAAAGATCACATACTCTGTGGTTTTGTCCGAAATTTCAGAAATGGCAAAATACTGTGATAGAAAGTGGATCAGTCATTGCCAGGGCCTGGGGGTAGGGGAAGGAGATTGGCTGCAAAGTGTCCTGAGGGATCTTTTGAGATAATGGAAATGTCCTATATAATGATTGTGGTGCTGGTTACACAACTGTCCAAACCCATGGAATTGTATACTTTCAGTTGGTAAGTTTTACTGTGTGTGAATTGCACCTTGATAAAGCTGATTTTTTAAAAATTGAAGTAGAACGCTGTTAGAAGTGGTGCTTCCTCCCCTTGTTTCTAATGCCACCCTCTTGCAAGCCCATATCCAAGTAGTGGACCAAGGCATCTTATAAAAACATAAATTCAATCATATCACTCCTTGTTTAAAACACTTGAATGGTTTCTCTTTCCTCTTTGAATGAAATCCTGAGAATCACCATGACTTACAAGCCTATCTGTCCTGCTCACTGACCCTGACATTTGGAGGGCCTAGAGCAATGGGACAGAGGCCCATGTACCACGATTCTAAATATGTACAGTTAGGAATCAAGCCAATCAACTGCTAAAAAGTAAGTTCTATCCTTCTTTGATAAATGTACCTTCATGATAAACTGGAAGGCCAGGTTCAAATGTAGAGTTTGGAGTTCTGTCCCAGAATGTAAGGTTAACGAAAGGCAGACGCTAGACTATAGCCTACTGCCATTGCCTTTCCACCCCCGGATCCATCTGAAACCTCCAGGCTACCTGCCAGGCCGCTGTAGACATTTGTGTCCATAACCTCTGGGGACCAAAGACAGCACTGGAGATGGAATCAGAGAAACTGGATGTGAAACATGTATCTCTTGGTTTTCCCCAAATTGTACTTGATTCTGTATGTGTGTACATGTTTGAGCATGGGTATGCATGCACGTGTATATTTGCATGTGTGTGCATGCATGTATGTGCATTTCTATATGCCTGTGTGTACATGCATGTGTGTGCAGGTGTACATGTACATGTGTATATGTATGTGTCTCTGTGTACATGCCTATGTGTGCATGTGTATATGTACATGTGTATGTGTATATGTGCCTGCGTGTGCATGTGTATATATGCCTGTGTGTGCATGCATGTGTATGTGTTTATACATGTTTGTGCATGTGTATGTGTGCCTGCGTGTGCATGTGTATATGTGCCTGTGTTGTGCATGTGTGTTTATTTATGTACCTCAACAGCAGTGTGAGCTACCTGAGGGCAGCAGTTGTGCTGAATTCATCTCAATATCCTTTCTACCTGGTGCAGAGTGATACTAGATGAATGCTTGTGGAGTGAATAAATGAATGAATGAGGGCCAGTACAGCAGTTATTAAGTGTGGGTCTTGAAGCCAGACTGATGTGAGGTCCAAATCTTACTCTGCCGGTCATTAAGCAAGCCGCTTTGGTTTATTTTCCTAATCCCGTAAAGCCTGGGTTTCCTTATCTCCCGGTGGGGATAAGAATACCACTATTTTATGGGGGTTGGTGTGAGGATTAGGTAACAACAATCAGAGCCAACATGGACCAAGCCAGGCTGTGGGCCAGGCACTGTACTAAGGGCTTTGCAAATGCTAGCTCTCGTGCTCCTCCTGGCAATTTCACGGTGTAGGGGTGGTTACACAGTCAACTCTCAGAGTGACTTGGCTGTTACCGTATTTATGATGGTGGAGAGGAGATTCAGGATTCTTAGCCCCTGGGGGAAGCTTCCCCTGAGTGCAGCTCAGATTCTGGCTGATAGGGCTGTCTGGAGAGGTTGTCTGAGCCAGCAGGCTGCGCGCTCTGCCTGGCCAGCTGCAACTTGACTCTCGACTTGGCCGGGTCCTTCTAGTGCGGCTTATAGCATTCAACCTCCTCTAGGTGGCGCTGCGGAGCGGGGACTCGGCTGCTGATCGCGGCGCCCCCTGGCGGTCTGTTCCCGTCAACATTTAGATTAAGCGCAGAGCCGGTTCCGCCAGGGAAGTGCGCGTCCCGGTGCCCCCGCGTGATGAGAGCGGATGACAGATTGCGGGAAAAAGTTAGAATGTAACGTTAGTTGTATGACAGAGAGGACCAAGCTGTGCAGCAGAGGGAGACAGAAAAGGGAGGGACCAAGCCACAGCAAGGAATGATCGTCAATAACATTAACGTCTAGAATTTATTGACCACCTGCTATGCGCGAGCCACTGTCCTAAACATCTGGTATTCATTCCCTTAGTTAACACACCTCTAGTAAGTGCGTGTCTCAAGAACAGTGTCTGTGTTTCATTTAGGGCCTAGCACACAGTGGGTGTCTGGCACATAGTAGGTTCTCAACACATTTGGAAATGAATAATACAATAATCCTGCAATTTTTCTCTCCAATTAATAATGTAGAGGCAAATATTATCTCCATTTAGAAAACTGAACAATGGTCGGAGAGTTTGCACAACTAATGCGTGACACAGCGAGGGCACACGAGGTTTAGACCCAGCTCAGCCGTGTGCCAGGGCTTCTCAGAGAAGAGAAGACCCTCTGCCTTCAGGGAGTTTGCTGTCTAATTGGCCACGTCTACACCCTCCCTGCCTGGGTGGCATGCCAGGGATGGCTATTTATGGCTCAGGGAGGAGGTCCAGTGAAGTTCCCCTCATAAATTATAAAGGGAGACACATGTGGGTCAAGATTGGGGAATTCAGTGTGTGAGGGATCCCCAGGAATCTTACACTGTCCAATCAGGGATTTTCCTTCTCTTACCCTGGAGAGTGGCTGATGTAGGCAGTGGGGATTTGCTGAGTACCTATAATGAGCTCTCAAGGGTATCTCCTGGTCCTGTAGAAGAGGCTCACCTCCTCCCTATCACAGAGTTCCAGTTCCTATGGCTGGAGCTCTCAGCCCCAGCCGCTGGCTGCTCAAAGGAGAGTTTCCTCATGTCCAAAATGGGGGCTATGGTTTATCTTGTATACCCCAGCACCTGCATGAGGAAGGACTGAAAAGTGCTGTGCACTTTTGTGATTCGCACATCCAGTCCCCATTCAGGCTCTGGGGATCCCCCAGGCATGGTCTTGGTGTATTAGACTTTTTCCTGGAGATGTGATTATGAATGGGCATTAGTAAGTGGTGTTATGCAGAGATGCCCTTCTCTGAATGGCCTCTGGTATTTGTTTTTTGAGTTCTTGAGAACATATATATTTTTTGGTATTCCATGGTCTTTATCATTGTCAGGCTGTCACTGAACTGTCGCTTGCATTTGGCTGCCCCTGGTAATTTTCTTCCTTCCCCTAACTCACTGCTTCAAGTTCTTGAGTTGGCAGGAAGAGAGGACCAGGCTCCTTTTATATTTCTTCTGTGAATAAAATATGCCAGTGTCAATGCATAGACTTTGAGCTATCAATTCTAACCATTCAATGGCTTTTCTCTTTTTTTGGTTTATTCACAGGCTGTGGGATGTGGAGGTTATCAAAAATCAGGTCTCCATAAGTGAGAGGTCACTTCAGGCATTTCTTTGCACTTATCCAAAAAAGATTCCATCCATACTTGTTTAATGGAACGTGTGAAGAGCTTGGCTCCTCTTCCAGGTCATCCCTCTGCCTCATTCTCCCCCTGCAGCAGGAGCAGCAAGAGCCCGGTTCTGGAGTGGGAGTAGAAGGTACAGGCATTGCTGCAGCGGCAGGACAGGAGCCCATTGCTGACAGAGTGCCTGGCCTCAAATTACACTGTATCAGAGCTCGGGCATAAAATTGGCAGCAGCGTTCTGTGTATGAGGAGACAGAGAAATACCTGTATTCAGCAGAACCACGGGCAGGGACAGAAGAAAAGGAGAGAAAGAGGGGAGGAGGGGAAGAGCTGGCCCGTCGCGGGCTCTTCCCTGGACATCTTTGTCCCCCAGGTGCAGAGGTGGCTTCCCAGTGGCTGAGTCAGGGCCACAGGAGGTTTCTTGGGGGGTTGGGGGGGCCGGGGTTTGGAGGGCAAGCCATGAAAATACCTGGGAAGGTAAACTTGAGGGCTTAACCCACCTGAAACACACACATACAGATATACACACTGAAAACGATTAAAAAAGGAATAAGAAATGTCCATGTGTCTAGGCACTTTTATACAGTTTTCTATTAATTCCTACTACAACTCCATTAGGCAAGACTGTTTCACAGATTGGTGAAGAAGAAAGGTTCAAAAAGGACATGTTATCTTGCCTGAGTTCACCTATTATAAATGTACTTGTGTTTATACTCATTTGTCACCGACTGCAACCTAAACATCTAAACACATTCTCTCACAGCCACAATGCCACCACTATACACATTATATGGTCTTTTATAGACACAACACAAATGCACTTACACTTGCCTATGCGAGCTGTATGTGTTTATACACAAATATGTGTTTCCAACTATAGGCATATACTACACACACAGTTTACACAATCACCTACAAATTCTGTATCATGCTTGCTTGCTAAAATTGTTTTGCCACTTCCTGTCCTTCCTGACCAACTGTAGGCCAATGTCCTCCTCTTCCCTCAGTTATGGCTGTGTGCTTGCACCTGTTGGTACTTACAGACACCTGCACTAATAACCCTGCTCTGTGTTTCATTTCATCCTCTAGCCTGGGAGCCCCGAGACACCAGCAACTCATCAGACTTATTGTTTGTATTATTTCTAGTTCTTTGGGTGTGAATTCTTCATGATGTGGAGGCTCTGAGCTGTCTTTCACAGCTCACGATTTGTAGTTTTGGTCTGTGAGTTGACAGAGTAGGCCCTGCAGAGTCACTGACTCCAAGCTGTTTTTATATAATGCCTCAGCTTAGGATTTCTGCACCACGTGGGTAGCTTATATCGGGGCCTTACACCAGTGCAGAGGGCAGGCTTGAGGCTGATCTGGTACACACGTCCCTTGTTCCACCCATGGACTGTGAGAGGACCTCAGCTCCTGCCGTGACTCTAGGCTGATGGCTGAGAAACTCTGTTCCCATAATCAGTTCTGACACCCACTTTACACTGAGAACTCAGATTTGACTTTCTGCTAACAGCAGGACCTGTGGCCTGTACCTAGTCCCAGATTTGGCATTAAAATCTCAGCCCAACAATGCATATCCAATCTTGGTTTTCCCATGGGCTGTTGGCCACGTTCCTCTCCCCCTGGTATAGATTCCTGACCCCTCTCTTTGATCCTACCTAAAAATTATGCTTTCTTGTTTTTTTTAGCTGGGACTTGTATGTTTAAAGTAGTTTAAAACAACTTTCTGCTCTGCATGTATGAATACGAGTGTGTGAGCGTGTGTAGCTGGCAGGGAGTTACTGGGTGTGGCTGTGCCAATGACTCCTGTGGACCTCTTCTCAGAGAAGTCCCTTCAGAATCAAATACCCATACCTGTTAGGAGCTGCAGTCACTGACTGGCAGCGTTTCATTCATTCACTGAATATTGGTTGAGCACTTGCAATGTGCCAGGCACGCTGCTAGCCAAGGAGGCAGTCATTAAACATACAGATAAACAAACAAATGTGAGATGACAATAGTTATGAGTGCTCTGCAGTAGACGTGCAGGGACCTGTGAGAGAATGTAGTAGGGAGGGCCTTAATTTAGGGTGTGTGGTCAGGGAAGGCCTCGCTAAAGATGTAGCTTCTAAGCTGAGATGCAAAGGAGGCAGTGAAGAGCTTTTTCCAGCAGAGGGAACACCATGAGCATAGGCCTTGGGGCGGACGTCTTAGAACATTCTAGAAACGGAAAGGAGGCCAGTGAGAAAAAGGGAGCTCAGGAGCAGAGGCTGGGGAAGGCTGCAGGGCCTCAGGGGCATTGGAGGCAGGCAGGGCAAGGACTCTGGACTTTATCCTGAGCACAGGGTGATGGGGCAGGAGAGTTTAAGCAGGGAGGGTGAAACTCACTCTGATTGGCAGCCCTGTGAAAGAGGATTGGCTGGGCATGGAGATCTAAGGATGAGGAAAGGATATCCCAGAGTGCCAGGGCGCGCAAACCAAACTTCACACTCTAGGAAGACAGAGGCCAGAGGAACCAGGAGGGCTTCCTGGAGGAGGTGGCATTTACTCTGGGCCTAAGAGATCACAGGAAAATGGAGGCCAGCATTCTAGGCCTGGGGAAGAGTTTGGGCAAAGGCTTGGCAGTAAGAGAATAAAGGTGGGGCTTGATGGGCCAGAGGATAAGTGACTCCTCAAGGTCACAAGACACCCTGATGGCTGGGACCCCATCTCTGATGGAGCAAGGCTTCTGATACCCAACTGAGGCTTGGCGCCAAGGACTGACATCAAGGAAGTGGATTCCTGCAAACCTGGCACCCGAGGGTCCACTTCCTCAATTTCTGTGCAGCTGGGAGGTGAGGTAAGAGGAAGTGTGGGCCACAGGCTAGGCCCAGAGAGCCTGGAGGAGGAGCCTCTGCCAGACTGGAGAGAAGCAGGCCTGAGCCTCCCCAAAGGCAGCTCCTGGGGACTCCCAGGACCACAGGCTGAGACGAGACGCAGGGTGGCTGGAGGAAGTGAGAGGTGAACTCAGCCTGGGACTGGCTGGGCGAGACTCTCCACCTGCTCCCTGGGACCATCGCCCACCATGGCTGTGGCCCAGCAGCTGCGGGCCGAGAGGTGAGTGCCGGGGTGTGGCCGCCCCCGGGCCTTCTCACTGCTCCTCATAGGCCTTAGGGACAAAGGCCAGTCCTTCTGCAGTCCCTGATCAACATGAGAGGCTGGGGTTGAGTCAGAACCCAAATACTCAGAAATGCAACCTCTCAGAACTGCTTTAACGAAACTTTGAGCTGTGGCTCACCACCCTCAGACACAAATGAGAACACTGAGGCTCCAAGAGTGGGAGTGACTTGCCCACGGTCACACAACGAGTGACCGGCAGTGTCTGGAGAGGAATGCAGGTGTCCTGGGTCCCAGGCTGGGGCCCTTTGCTTCACATGGTGATCAGCAATGACTTTCCATCTTCTGCGCAAACAGAATTCACAGAATCTGGCTTGTTCTTCCGCTAATCAGGGCTTGCCTCAAATGTCACCTCCTCCAAGAAGCCTTCCTGACAGCCCCTACCTCATTGCTGTCTGACCCTTTGCCCTATTTCCCTTTTCTGCCTGGTTCTTATATTACAGGAATAATATTATATGCTCATTTATTATTTTTTCTTGAACGTTGGCTCCCCCATGAGAAGCAAGCTCCACGAGGCTGTGTCCGTTTTGATCGCTGCTGTATCACTAGGAGGTAGCTCATCCCTATTGAGCACCAGGACCAAGGGCTCAATAAATGTTGCTGAATGAATGAATAAATGAATGAATGAATGGGTGGATCTTTGAGACGGAAAAGGTCTTAGATTCTTCTAGTCCAACCTTGCCATTGTACAGATTGGAAATCTGAGGCCCAGGGAGGATAAGAGACTTACTCAGGGTCACAGAGAGTGACTGGCAAGGTTGGGGCTTGGAGCACGGCCTCACCAGCATCTAGCCTCGTCGCTTGGGAAGCATTTTCAGAATTTTTCCTCAGTAGCCAGGTCTGAGCTCTAAGCTGCGGGGGCCCTGAGGACGCAAAGCCTGGCCCCTGCACCCCCTGGATTGGAACAGCAGGTGACCTCTGTTACCTACGTGGAGGCCACTCAGGGGGTCACCAGAGACAGGCCAGGCTGGTGTGTGCCTACGCGGGGAACAGAAGGCCCATGTTGGGGCCTGGGGCTGGAAGTAGAACCTGAAGCGTGGGTTGGGGCAAGGGCAGCAGAAGCAAATGCCTACAGGGGAGTCCACGTGGCCTTCCTGAGCCTCAGAGCGGGGTGCAGGAGCTGGGTAAGGCTGGCCGACCTGAATTCCTTCCTCCCCTCACATGCTCCTGGGGGACCCAGCCGCACGCAAACTCGAATCTTCCGGAAGCAGCAGCTGTTTGAGGCTTGGGCACTTCCTGCTTTCTGGGGTACAGGGTTCAGGGGATGACACGGAGAGCTGACCAGCAGGACTGTGCACTCCCTCCCCCACTCCCTGTCCCCTTTCAGCTGCCTTAGCCCTCAGAGGGGGAGGGACTGCTTTTCATGAGGCCTTGAGCCAGGTACTAGGGGCATGGGGGCTCCCTGTACCTCGAAGGTCTTATCTGAAAGCGAGCCTGGATTGTTCTGCTTAAGGTCAAAGCAGAGAGTACAAGGAGAGGGCGCAGGTTCGCGCAGCGGGGACTTTCTAGAACCCCAAGGTGAGACATCCAAAGATGGGGAGGGCTGCCTTAGGGGTGGCAAGTTCGGTTCCAACAGACATGTTTTGAGCACCTACTATGTGCCAGGTGCCAGAAAACCTGCCCTGGCTGCCCTCCAAGGGTTCTTCCAACCTCGGCCTCCCCCAGGGCAGGCTCCAAAACCTCCCCCAGGCCAGGCTCCAAAGTCTGTGAACTGTGCGAGTGTGTCTTGAGCCAGAACATCCCGGCCCAGTAGGGCCTGGGTGAGGTCCCCAAGGGAGCGGATATTCCAGGGGACTTCCGGTTGGGTTTGCTGCTCTTCTTGCCCGCCCCACAGGCAGCCAGGCCATTCTCATGCTGCCCATCAAAAAACTCTATAATTGCAGACGACGGTAGTGGCCGTGTATTGAGCAGTACTGAGCACCTACTGTATGCCGGGCTCTGTTCTGGGCACTGGGATGTAGGGTGAGCAGAGTCCTTGCCCTCATGGAGATTTTAGGGCTGTGTTTGTTACAGATGGGACTGCATGACCACCCGGAGACATAAGTACTTCTCCTGTCCCCATTTTACAGAGGAGGGAAGGAGCGGAGCACAGCTAGGAATCTTCCCAAGGGAGCTTGATCTTCTTGTCCCCAGTGCTGCGCCTATGCCTCGAGCATCTGCCAATGTCTGTCCTGCTTGACTCCTTCCTCAGCCCCCACCACCCCAGGGAAAACTCGAGGTCCCTCTGCGAGGCATCAAGGCACCTCGTGAGCGGGCCCTGCCTGTCTCTCCGACTGGTCTCTCATCACGTTCCACCTCCTGCTCTGTGCTCCAGCCATGCTCAGCAACCTGCGGTTCCCTGAACTGAGCAGCTCCATCCAGGGCACATGTTGACTTTGTTTACATCTGTGACCCAGGGCCTAGGACAGGGCCTGGTATGGAGATGTTTGATGCCTTATTCCCAGGTGAATCTGTGCAATTGACAGCAATGTGTTAGACTATAATTTGGCTATTGCTATATGGTCACCAGCTTCCCATTCCTACACTCAATATGGCCACCAGCTTCCCATTCCTGCACTCAGTATGGCCGCCAGCTTCCCATTCCTGCACTCAAGGCCTGGGCTGTGTCTTGTTATCTCCGTATTCCCAGGGTCAGTGGCTGGACCTGGCCTGGGAAGGGGTGCTGAGAGACGAATGTTGGCTTCACAACATTAGTTTGCTTTGCACTCTACCTCATACCCGGTGGGCCCACAAAACACATCAGGGTGATAAGCAGGATCTCTTTTCCCCTCCTTCGCACAGTGACTTTGAACAGCTTCCGGATGATGTTGCCATCTCGGCCAACATTGCTGACATCGAGGAGAAGAGAGGCTTCACCAGCCACTTTGTAAGACAGACTCCTAGTCCTTCACCCAACAACCTCTGAACTTCCACCCAGCTGACCTCTGAACCTTGCCCTCTGACCTCTGAACCTCCAATTCTCTGATCTCTTAACTTCTATCTCAGTGGTTCTCAACAGGACCGATTTTGCCCATTTGACATTACCCTGGGAGATTCTGATTATTGCATCTTGGGGCAGGTCTACTCCACATCTAGTGGGTAGAATCCAGGGTGCTGCTAAACACCCCACTGTGCACATGACAGCCCTGTCCCCAGTAAAGAACTGTCCGGCCCCAGCATAATACTAAGATTGAGAAATCCTGATCGCGTCCTTTGACCTCAGAACCTCCACCTGGAGAGTCGGGGGTGAGGGACTTTAGTGTTGCCCCCACAACACCCCTGTCATATTCAGACACAGATGGAGGGGGCATCCTGCACCCACAGCACAGCCAGGGGCAGGTTCACTCTGCACCATGACCTCCAAGGCATGGCTCCTCATTTCTTGGGCCTGAATGTGTGTTTGGCCTATTTCCAAGGGCTCTTGCCTCTAACACTAGGTCTCACTTCCTCTCTTTTTCCAGTTTTTTTTTTCTTTTCTTTTCTTTTTTTTTCGCAAAGCTCGTCTGCTTCTGGGGCGCCAGCCTTTTGACTTGACAGGGGTCTCCTTCTCCAGAGACCCTTCTGCATCCTTATCCTCATCATCTTCCTCCTCCTCCTCCTCCCCTTTTCCCTTCCACCTCTTTTTGGCTTGTGCTCCTGGCCCCTGAGCCCTCCCCACAACCTCTGTCCTCCTTAGGTTTTCGTCATCGAGGTGAAGACAAAAGGAGGATCCAAGTACCTCATCTACCGCCGCTACCGCCAGTTCCATGCTTTGCAGAGCAAGCTGGAGGAGCGCTTCGGGCCAGACAGCAAGAGCAGTGCCCTGGCCTGTACCCTGCCCACACTCCCAGGTAGGCGGCCACTCCCGTCCTGCTGCTGCAGAGCTGCTGACTCTCCTTCCTTCCAGGGCCCCTGACACTGTTCTGTGATTTGATCTCAACCCCAGTGAAAACTGTTCATGTAGTTTATAGCCCCCACTCCCGGCAGTTACAGGCTGCCAAGCCCTCCCTGCATGGCTCCCCCTGCCTCACGCCATGGCTTCCACCCCAAGCACTCTAGCCTCACAGCCCCGGAGCTCTGATGACCATCGTGGCCACTCGCTCCTGCTGTCCACTACCAGGAGGCCACAGTCTGGAGCACTTCAGCACCTGGCCTCCCTTCCTCAGAGACAGGAATCCCCCAGTCTGGTCCCTAAACACACTGACTCACCTCCCTGCCCACCCTCAGCTTCCTCCCACGAGACCAGCCCTCTGACTTCATGGTCTTGGCTTCCAGCGTCCCTGTGGCTCTCCTTCTTCTCCTGTCCCGCCAGGAAGCTGGGTGGCCTCAAGCCTCTGCTTGCAAACAGTCTCCCCGCCCCCTGGCCTCCTGGTCCTTCCTCCCCAGCTGGATCCTAACGCGCACCTTGGACAGCGCCAAGCCCTTAGCTGCTCAGCACCTGCCCCGCAGGAGGAAACCCCATCACGAATGGGTTACACGGGGGTGGTCTCAGCGGCGCCCTTCGTGCCCTGCAAGTTAGAGACAGGGACAATTGTCTCCCTTCCCCAAGCCTCAGGGACCCTTCCCCAAGCTCCAACCCCATCTCCAGTTTGTTTTTTCTGTCTCTGTTTCTGTCTCTCTCTGTCTCAGCATATGACCCCGCTCCTTCTCATCCAGCCCCACCAAGGAACTTGAAGCTCCCCCTAGGAGTCTTGCCTACTCTAAGCCAGCCTCCCCTCTCAGGCTCCATCATTTTCCCTCCTCTCTCTTTTGGGGCTCTCTCCTGACAATCTACCCCTCCTTTTCCTTGTATATTCATCTTCCTCTTGATATACCAACTCCCTCTGCTAAGCGTCTCCACAGCCTCAACCCTCTTCTGTCTTTAAACAATCCTGAGCCATGAAACAGCATTCTTACAAGCCTCCCTGAGCCTCCGTGCCCCCAGGGCCCCCAAAGTTCTCTTTCTTCTTCCTTTGGCATCAAATTCACGCACTGTCTCACCTTGGCATGGCCATCCTCTCCTTAACTCCTCAGCTTGGTTTAGCTCTGACTACTCCACTGAAATTCCTCTCGGTGAGGTGGGCCATGACCCATCAATTCTGGCTTCCATGGCCAGTGCCAAGCCTCATCTTCACACCCCCACTCCTTCCTCTGTTAAGCTTTCTCCAACCTCCTGAGGCACCAGTGTCTCCCAATCCCCTTCCTAGCTTACTAGAGACTCCTTCAGCTTCTCTGTTACAGAATCAACCTTCTCTGCTGCTCCTTGGAAGGTGGGGATCCTCTGAGCAGACATCCTCTCTCCCCTGCCTTGTCTTCTCATTCCAAACACTCACCCTGGCAAACTGACCCATGTCTGGGACTTAATTGTCACGTTTTTGCTCCTAACTCCCAATGTCTAGCTCTAGCCCAGACCCTCCTACCGCCGCCGCCATCACCTCTGTCCATCTCCTGGACACCAGGAGCCAGGCAGGTTTCAGACTTGCTTCCTCGTAGGGGTTCTCTTGGTGAATGGTTCCACCAGTGCGCCCACATGAAGGCACCTGGAGGGGACATTTGTCTCTTGGTAGCCCGTCATATTTCCTTTTCCTCCAGAACATCTGCCTTGAGCTTGAGGAATTGTTCATTCATCCACTTAACAAATGCTCATTCATCTGGGCATGATTCTAGACCCATGGTTCTTAACTTTGGTGGTATGTGGACGTGCCTTGAGAGATGGAAAGAATCCTGGTTCCTGAGTCCTGCCCCCGGAGATTCTGATTTAATTGCTCTGGGGCAAGTGCTACACAGTGAGATATTTACAAGCTCCTTGGGTAGCTTGAATGTGCAGCCGGTGTTGCCACTGTCCTGGGTGATGGGGGTACAGCTGTGAGCCAAGCAGGTGAAAATCCTGCTCTCTTAGAACTAAGAGTCGTGTGTGTGTGTGTGTGTGTGTGTGTGTGTGTGCGCTTGGATGAACAGGCAGTAAATAAAAAAGTAAGACAAGAAAAATATCAGCTGGTGATAGCACAACTGAGAGGATGAAAGTTGGATGGTGCCAGAGTGGCCACTTCAGTGCTGTGAAAAGATAACAGGGAAGAATGCTGAGCCATCGGGAAGGGGCTCTGGCCAGGGTTCCTGGCCTGTAGGGGCAGCCCTGAGCCCCGGGGCCATGTTGGGCCAGGCTCCTAGGACAGCTCTTTGTCTCTTCTCAGCCAAAGTCTACGTGGGTGTGAAACAGGAGATCGCCGAGATGCGGATACCTGCCCTCAACGCCTACATGAAGGTACCAGTGGGCCTTGCCACCTTGGCACGTGGAAGGGCATGCAGTATTGGTGGGGGAGCCCACGTACCATCCCTGGGTATGGCTTTGGGAACTGGGGCTGGCTCTCTGGCTCTGATGGCCCCATCTTCAATCCCTAAAGGCCTGGTCTGGGGAGTAAAACAGGATGCGTCCTTAGGGTTCCAGAGATAGGAGCAGGAGCAACGGAGAAGGTAAAAGAGCCACACTAGGAATTGACAAGTCTTCATTTAATGCTCCAAGCCCCACAGGTGAATGTCTATGCCAGGAGTTAAAATACAAAGGTGAATTCCATCCAGTGTCTGCCCCCAAGGTACCCACTGTCCTATGGGAATGCCAACAGGTGGATCATAAGATCACACGGAGACATATGTGTGCCTCCATCATGGGGGTGTGGCCAAGCAGGCCGCAGGTTGCTCATATAGCATCTTTGTGCAAACTAGAGTAGGCCTCCTCTGGGACAACTCACTCCCTTACGTGAACATGGGCTGGATTTTAGCTACACTCATGGGTCTTGGCTGGGGGCCCTTGTGTATTCTCCGACTTGCAAACTCTGCATCTCTATGAGATGGGAGCGTAGAGGAAGGAGCATCTTAAAGGCAGAGGCCAAGGTGGTCAGGAAAGGACTTCCACCAGCCACAGCCATCCAGGAAAGGGGCAGTGTTCCTCATGAGGTGGCAGTGAGTGCACCGTCGCTAGAGACCTGATAGTGACCTCAGGAAGCTGGCAAGCGAAGCCCTCCTCCCAGCCCAGCGGCATCCTCACAGCTGGAGAGCGCTGGGCTAGGATCCTTTAGTCTTGACTCTGACACTGACTGGCTGGGTGATTTGGGGTGAGTTGCCCATCCTCTCTAGGCCTTGGTTTTCACACTTGTGAAATGGGGCAGTGCCCTCTAGTATCACAGGAGTGAAGTTGGGATCTGTCGAGAACAGGATGAGAAAGTGCTTTGTAAACTGTGAACCTGCTTCCAGAATGTGAGAGATCTTGACTCCTGATGGAGGGAAGGAGCAGATGGAGGGCAGAGGAGGTGGGAGGAAGGAGGAGAGAGCAGGTAGCTGCAGGAATCCTGGGCTCTGAGCAGGGAAGAGGGAGGGAGGGGAGCTGGGTGGGCTCCAGCTGCTCCTTCAGGGTGGCTGAGGCTCCACCCTTCTCCCCCTGGGCTAGAATAGGGGAGTGGGCTGTGAAGGGAGGGAGGGAGGGA
Source organism: Homo sapiens (assembly GCF_000001405.40). Lineage (NCBI taxonomy): Eukaryota > Metazoa > Chordata > Mammalia > Primates > Hominidae > Homo > Homo sapiens. The sequence continues at coordinate 36,868,679 of NC_000022.11, forward strand.
AGGAGGAAGAGAAGGCAGGAGGCGAGGCTGGGGAACTGGGGCTCCTCATTCCACACCTGGTCTTAGCAACCAGCAGCCCAGAGGATCCATCTCTGCCTCTTTGTGTCCAATTGGGTTCCTGGAAGCCAGAGATCATTCAGGGCAGGAATCTCTGCCATGGCCACCCCATCCTGTGCTTGCATACCCTCAGAGATGGGGAGCTCACTACCACTCCGCCCTGACCCAGGCTGCCTGTCCCATTGTTGGGCAGCTATGAGAAAAGCCCAACTCTCTGTAAGTCCTACCCACTGGTCTCACCCCGCCCTCATGAAGAATGTGAATCACATGATAATGACAACTGCCTGGAACTGCGTGAAGAGCTTTGACTGGCAACCAGGAGACTCTTGATACACGTTTATTGATAAATGAATAATCTTATTTAATCCCCTCAATAACTTGTGAGTTAAGTGTGACAGAGCAGTTAGGTAGGTGGGATGAGATTTGAATTCACATCTCTGTGACTCCAGGGTTTGAGCTCTTACCCACTGTGCCTCGTTGTAATGAAAATCACAGTAACAATGATGACATCTAACTTTGATGGGCACCTGGTATATGCCTGGTGTTGTTCTAAGGATTCTGCATGTATTTACTCATTTAATTCTCACACAATCCCACGAGGGAGAGGCTATTATTGTCCCCATTTTATTAATGACCATCTGGAGCCAGGTTTGCCCAAAGCCACCCAGCTGGTGACAGGCAGAGCTGGGATTCGATCCCAGGAGCCCCTGGCTCCTTAAACACCTCCCAGGCTGTCCCCATATGACAGCCTTTTCCGGGCTCTGCATCCCCAGTTCCTCTCGGACAAAGTTCCCCGACCCCACCTCATCCTGCTGCCCCCATGGGATCCTCTGCAGGGCTCTGGGTGCCTCTGGAGCCTCAGCACCCAAAGCCAACCCTCAGTGTCCCCAGACCTGTGCGCTTGGAGTTTGGTGAGATGACCCCGCCAGGCTCTGGGTGCTCGCGTCCTCACAGCTTCAAAGTCTTTGCATCGTGGTGGGTGTAACCAGCTTGGATGAAACAAGGACACTAGGGCTCAAGTCCGGGCCCTGTCACTTAGCTCGGCTCCTCTGGGCCAGGTACTTTCCCTCTCCAAGCATCAGTTTCCTCAACTATGATATGAGATAAAGTATCAGGAAGCATTTTGTAGGCTATAATGCCACCAACTGTTGTTAATTTGGGTTATTTTGGGAGCCCCCCACCCCCGCCAACTGTTGTCTCACCTTAAGCTTTGGGTAGCCTTTAGTGGCAGATGGCTCTGGGTGCCCCAGCTCTGTCCCTTGCTAGGCTTTGTGGCCTTGAGCATATCCCTTCACCTCTCTGATCCTAACTCAAGGGATGTCATGAGATGGAGCAAGGGCGCGCATGTGATACCCACCTGGTAAAGTCACCGCCGGGTCATGTTAGTTGTCATCACCATTACTGCTGTTTCTGGAGAACTTTAAGTCTTTTCCAAATGGACTCTTCTCAAGCCCCTGGTCCCTCTCCTGACCTTGGACCCAGGAGCAGAGCTTGTGAAGTGTTACCTTCAGCATGCTGAGTTTTCTTATTCTTTTAAACAACGCATTTCTGTTATCAGGCATCATGCATTAGTAAAGAGAGGAGGGCTGATGTCAGGGCTCGGGGACGGGACATCTAGGCTGGGGTGTCCAGATCTTTCTGCTGACTACCCCACCGGTTCTGCTGTCTCACCCACACAGAGCCTGCTCAGCCTGCCGGTCTGGGTGCTGATGGATGAGGACGTCCGGATCTTCTTTTACCAGTCGCCCTATGACTCAGAGCAGGTGCCCCAGGCACTCCGCCGGCTCCGCCCGCGCACCCGGAAAGTGTAAGTGACCAGCCCCTGGGCTTCCACATGGCCAGAGCCCTGGGTCCCTGCTGGAAAAGCATCTCTTTTCCCTGAAAGGAGAGAAGGAAAATACAGATCAGCCATATCCCTGGACACTCCAGGATGATTTGATTTATTAGATGGGTTTAGAAAGTCATGTTCAGGCTTGGAGGGACAGAGGGTGTGTGCCTTTCAATGTGATAATAAGGATTGGAAGACGAGGACTGGGATATTGACTCCAGAGAGTTTGGTGCCACAGCAACTACTGGGGATAGCCCAGAAGCTCTGGGTGCCTGGAAAGAATTGGGGGCAGAGAGGAGGGAAAAGCTGCCCCATCCACAAACATTCTCTGAGCATCTCTGGGAATGCCTTCTCCCTGGTGTGTTGGAGCTCCATGGGGCCAGCTATGGCTCTAGTTGTATCATGCTGGCCTCCAGAGCACACTGTTCCTCCCTTATTCCAAAAAGCCCATCCTTCCCACCAAAAATTCAAGCCACTCGTAGACTGCTGGGCTTCCAAAGCCCAGGTTGCTGCTACTAAGAATTCTGGGAAAAGCAGGACGGAGCTCCTGAGCTCCCCACCAGCTCCTCCCTCTGCTTCCTCCCACCAATGTCTCCAAGGGTCCTCTCCATGCCTGGCATCTCCCCTGTGCACACAGGCAGGTGTGTCTTAATTCCAGCTGTGCCATGTGGCAGCCGCAGGCCCCAGAGCAAGGCACTTCACCTCTCCAACCTTCAGTTTCCCTCAGCTGAAAAATTAGAAACAGTCACATTTACATCAGAGCTTGGTTGTAGGGAGCAGAGGAACAAACACATCTGAACACTTTGGCAAGTGAAAGGCACCGAATGAGCGTGTATCCCCTTCCCCACCTGCTTTCTGAGCCTGGCTTCCTGGTCCATAAAGAAGGGAGAACAATCCCACCTCCAAAGAGGTTGTGAGGATTTGGGGACAAGTGTGCCCGCCCAGAGGAGCAATTGCAGCCACATTTCAGCATCTTCTGTCTCCTCTGCCTTCCCTGCTCCTTGCAAGGGGCTCCTCTGGACACAGGAGCAGGAAGCTGGGCCCTGAGAGAATCACAGGGCTAACAAGCCCCTCTTCTCTCTCCACAGCAAGAGCGTGTCCCCACAGGGCAACAGCGTTGACCGCATGGCAGCTCCGAGAGCAGAGGTAACCCCCGCCCCCACGCTGGCCAGGCTCTCACACTGTGGGCATCTGCCTTGGCCCACCTGCCAGCCACTGGGCCTCTCCTGCTGGGTGCTGCTGTGTGCCTGGGACAGTGCTGGGCACCAGGAGGAAGGAAGGGGTTACAGCCTCAGCCTCTGCCACTGGGGGTCCCCCGAGCCCAGCTAAGGGGAGGGCATGTGACCAGCGTGCGGAGCCAGAGGAGAATGCTTCCATCCCTACGCTCATCCGGACAGTTTACCTGGGCCTCCTCTGAGTCAGCCCTGCCTTAGGCATGGAAGCTGCAGAGATGACTCAGACAAGGCCCAGCCCACGATGAAGCCTGGGGACCAGGGTGGGTGCTCAGCCCAGAGAGTTCGAACCCTTCCCTGTGTGCTCACCCCCACCAGGTTTGGAAGGAGCACCCATCCTGGAGTCAGGGAGACCTGGGTTCAATTCCCAGCTCCTCCACTAAAAAATGGGGTGGCCTCAGAGAAGTCGCTTATTCTCCCCAAGCCTCAGTTTCTACATCTGTAAAATGGGAGACTAAAGTATGTAAGGCACTTCTATAGGAACTCAGTGAGTGTTCTCTCCTTCCCTCCTTACTGCACGCTTCTCCTCAGGCTCTATTTGACTTCACTGGAAACAGCAAACTGGAGCTGAATTTCAAAGCTGGAGATGTGATCTTCCTCCTCAGTCGGATCAACAAAGACTGGCTGGAGGTGAGTTCAGAAGTGAGGATGGAGGTGAGATTGAAGGTGAGGTTGGAGGGAAATTAAAAGTGAAGATAGAGGTGAGGGTGGAAGTGCAATTGGAGGTGAGGATGAAGGTGAGGGTGGAGGTGAGATTGGAGGTGAGGATGGAGGTAAGAGTGGAGGTGAGGATGGAGGTGAGATTGGAGGTGAGGATGAAGGTGAGATTGGAGGTGAGGGTGGAGGTAAGAGTGGAGATGAGATTGGAGGTGAGGATGGAGGTGAGATTGGAGGTAAGGTTGGAGGTGAGATTGGAGGTGAGGTTGGAGGTGAGATTGGAGATGAGATTGGAGGTGAGGATGGAGGTGAGGGTGGAGATGAGGGTGAAGGTGAGGATGGAGATTGAGGGTGGAGATGAGGGTGAAGGTGAGGATGGAGGTAAGGGTGGACGTGAGGATGGGGGTGAGACTGGCAGTAAGGTTGGAGGTGAGGATGGAGGTGAGATTGGAGGTGAGGGTGGAGGTGAGACTGGAGGTGAGGATGGAGGTGAGATTGGAGGTGAGATTGGAGGTGAGGGTGGAGGTAAGGGTGGAGGCGAGAGTGGAGGTGAGGATGGAGGTGAGACTGGAGGTGAGATTGGAGGTGAGGATGGAGGTGAGATTGGAGGTAAGGTTGGAGGTGAGGATGGAGGTGAGATTGGAGGTGAGGATGGAGGTGAGCGTGGAGGTGAGATTGGAGGTAAGATTAGAGGTGAAGATAGAAATGAGAATGGAAGTGGGATTGGAGGTGAGTTTAGAGGTAAAGATGGAGGTGAGGATAGAGGTGAGGAAGGTGAGTTTGCAGGTAAGGATGGAGGTAAGATTAGAGGTGAGGATGGGGGTGAGTTTGGAGTTGAGGATGAAGGTGAGGTTGGAAGTGAGGTTAGAGATGAGGTTGGAGATGAGGTTGGGAATAAGGATGGAGGTGAGGTTGGAGGTGAGGATGGAGGTGAGAATGCAGGTAAGGTTAGGCTGAGATTAGAGGTGAGGCTGGAGGTGAGGTTGCTTCAGGCATTGTATGCTTCAGAGACTGAGGATGGTCTCAGAAGGCCTCAGGGAAGAGATGCTATCTGAGGATAGCCCTGGAGATCCAGGCAGGTTGGGGAGCCTGCGGGAACAAAGCCTTTGGGGAGGCAGGTGTTCGGTGGCAGCAGAACATTCTTGGAGCTCATGCTTTGGTTCTGACCCTGAAAAATGGGTTGCTTAGGGCAAGTAAGTTAACCTACTGAGTTTAGTTTCTTGGTCTGTAATGGGTGTCTCAGCAGGGGCACTATTGACATTGGGGCCAGATGGTCCCTTGTGGGGTTGTCCTGAGCATTGCAGGCTGTTCAGCAATATCCCTGGCCTCTCCACTAGATGCCAGCAGCACTGCTAAATTGCACCAATCACATGGCTCTCCAGATATTTGCTCCTGAGGGGTGAAATCGCAACCACTTGTGTAATATGGGACAACAGTACATACCTTGCCCACAGCAGTAAAAGCTGCTGATGAAGAGTGTGAACTCAGAGTCAGCCTGTTTGGGCCATTTCCTAGCTCTGTTTTTCACTAGCTTTGTGGACCTTTGGAAACTTGCTCAAACTTGCGGTTTCCTTTTCTGTAAATGTTTCTTCATCGGCTTCCTGGAAAGGGTAAAGGAGGTGGTAGATGGCCAGGGCTCGCCCCAGAGCCTGGGTGTGCGGCGCCTGGCCAGGTACTAGGGTCATTAGGAGACTTAAATGAAACTTCAAAGCCAGGGACTTTCCCAGTCACTGCTTTGTCCCTGTGTGGCCCACAGAAGGGCTGTGTTCTGACTCAGTGAGTGGAGGTGGGAAGTGGCTGTGTTGGGCCTTGGCCTGGGACCAGCCTTTTGTATTAGGTCCTGTCTTCAGACTTAGTGCTCCTGTGGGGAGTGTTGAAGGAGGTTCTGGGACAGGCCCAGAGGCAGGGTCAGCCCCCAGGGGTCCCAGGACCTTTAAGAGTTGGGTTGGGTCCCTAGCGTCCAGGCCCTGGAGAGGAGCTAGTAGTGACCACTGGTTTAGCCAGTTTAGCAGTTTCCATTTTACCCTAATCATAGATCTCCATCTCAGGAACTCAGGGCTCTTACAGAGGCCTGAGGAGTATCTCTGGGCCACTTTCCAGAAATAGAAAACATGTATTGCCTTCCTGTTTTCCGGAAAGTCCTACTTATCAGTATGCTGGCTAACTTCTGGCCTCAGGTTGAAGGTGGGGGCAGAGGGGCAGGGAGGGGACCACTTTGAGCCTTGGTTAATATGTTTGTAAAATGGCATGTAAATAATCCATGTTCCATAGGGTCGTTGTGAAGATGAACAGAACACGTGCCCAAAGCCCAGGCCATGGCCGGGTCTGGGTCTGATTTCTGGCTACTTGGTCTAGAGTAGAGGCACAGTTGTATCTGATGAATGAATGAGTGAGTGAGCGGGATCAGCAGCAGGCCCTTCCTCACCCCTCATCCTCTTCCTCCCCTGTTCTATTTTCCTCTGTAACACCTGCTGCCATCTGACTCACTGGATAGGTCATTGTTCACAGCGCGCACAGCGTGTCATTCCCCATCATACTGGAAACTCCGTGGGGGCAAGGACTTATTATTATTTTTTTATTATTATTTTTTCTTTGAGACAGAGTTTCACTCTGGTTGCCCAGGCTGGAGTGCAATGGCGTGATCTCGGCTCACTGCAACCTCCACCTGCCAGGTTCAAGTGATTCTCCTGCTTCCGCCTCCCGAGTAGCTGGGATTACAGGCCCGCACCAACACGCTTGGCTAATTTGTATATGTTTAGTAGAGACAGGGTTTCACCAAGTTGGCCAGGCTGGTCTCGAACTACTGATCTCAAGTGATTCACCAGCTTCGGCCTCCCAAAGTGCTAGGATTACAGGTGTGAGCTACTGCGCCCGGCCCAAGGACTTTTATCTATTTTGAGAGCCCAGAGCCTGTCACGTGGCTGGTTCTCAAGAAGCCTTTGTTGAATGAATAAGTGAATGAGTGAGATAAAAGCAGCTTTCTATATAAATCCAGATTCTGGCATATTGTAAAACCCAAATATAAGCCTTCTTAGAAGTGACCAGCTCAGCGAACTTCCTCGCTTTCCCTCCTCCCTCTACAGAAGAAGACCCGGACCTCATCTGCCTTTCCCCATCACTAGAACGGGGCTGAGGGCTCTGAGGCGTGGCTCTGCTGCCTCTCCTCTCACCAGCATGGCATCCCTTCTCTTCCTCTGCAGGGCACTGTCCGGGGAGCCACGGGCATCTTCCCTCTCTCCTTCGTGAAGATCCTCAAAGACTTCCCTGAGGAGGACGACCCCACCAACTGGCTGCGTTGCTACTACTACGAAGACACCATCAGCACCATCAAGTCTGTGGCCTGGGAGGGAGGGGCCTGTCCAGCCTTCCTGCCATCCCTACGACCACTGCCCCTCACATCACCTTCTCATGGGTCCCTCTCCCACTCCAAAGCCCCCAGTGGCTCCCAGATGAGCCACAATGCTGTAACAAGCCATCAACGTCCAGGGTGGCCTGGCCAGCCTCATTCCCCTTTCCCCCACCCCACACCCCACTTCCAGCCTGATGCCTCCTTACTCCAGCCTGTCACCCCCTTAGGGACATCGCGGTGGAGGAAGATCTCAGCAGCACTCCCCTATTGAAAGACCTGCTGGAGCTCACAAGGTGAGGGGCTGGGAATGGGGCTGGGGAGTTAGATACTCTGGAGAAGAGAGCGCAGGGAGAAATGTTAAGCACTAGTATTAAGGTGCTGGGGTTTTGCGTGTACTTTGTCTTCTCTTTTTATCCGCAGCCCAGCCCTGCAGGTTAGGCAGCATCTCCCCACTTTAGAGATGAGCGGGGAAGCTGCAGAGAGGTTAGGGGAACTGGTTGAGCTCACGCAGGTTGTGGGTTTAGATCCGGATCTGCAGCTGGAGCTAAAGTCTCTCTGGCTAAAAGCCTTGGACTTGAACCATCCACTCTCAGGGACTCACTACCCCCCCAGGTCCAGGACATTGCTGGACAGTTATTTTACAGAATGGTAACCGCATTGCTACATTTCTGACTATAAAACTTGTACCAACTCATTATATATTAAAAAAGAAATGTCAGTAACCATGTCAGAAAGATACAAAGAAGTGAAATCACCTCATATTTTTACTCCCCTCGTTATGTGACGTACACTCAGATTTCTTCAGTACTTACACCCCACACACACATGCACACACAAAAGTCACTTTGGCTGCACAAAACCTTTCAGTGGCTACATCATTAACATGGCCATGCGCTTTTGCTGGCCTCTTAGGATTTCTTCTGCTTTTTTACTACTCTAAACAACATTGTACAGACCATCTTAGTTAACCTATTTGATGACTTATCTGATCATTTCCTTTGAATGATTTTCAAGAAGTGGATTTGGGGATTAAAGCATTTGCAAGTCTCATAGGCTTCTGGCCCACACTGTGAAATTACTGGTAGAAAGCTCAGATCAATTTCTACGTACACCAGCCAAGTAGAAGGATGCGCATCTTCCCGCACCCAGGCCAGACAGTTCCTGTCCTTACAAGGTTCTCCTCAATAGCCTCACACAGGTGTCTCTCTGAGGCTTTATACAGCCCCACTCTGTGCCCAGTCAAACCCACTCTTCTTCACAACTCTTAATCCTTTAGCACATTTATACACGAGACATTTCAGGCTGTGCCACTAATTTCCGTGAAAGTCTCTTCTCCTTCTCCTTTTTTTTTTTGAGATGGAGTCTCACTCTGTTGCCCAGGCTGGAGTGCAGTGGTGCAATCTCAGCTCACTGCAACCTCTGCCTACTGTGTTCAAGTGATTCTCCTGCCTCAGCCTCCTGAGTGGCTGGGATCACAGGTGCATACTACCTCGCCCAGCTAATTTTTGTATTTTTAGTAGAGACAGGGTTTCACCATGTTGGCCAGGCTGGTCTTGAACTCCTAACCTCAGGTAATCTGCCTGCCTCGGCCTCCCAAAATGCTGGAATTATAAGCGTGAGCCACCGCACCCAGCCTCTTCTCCCTTTTAGGCCTCGATATCCCCATCTGTACAATGGGAGGTTAGATTACTTGGATGACACGGGCTTGTATCAGGCTCTGACTTTTTCTTACTCCTGGCTTCAGGACATAAAACCCTTTTCACCCCCTCTCCCTACCCCTACCTTACGCTTAGGCCCTTTGATTATCCCTGACTTTTCCCATGCAGGCGGGAGTTCCAGAGAGAGGACATAGCTCTGAATTACCGGGACGCTGAGGGGGATCTGGTTCGGCTGCTGTCGGATGAGGACGTAGCGCTCATGGTGCGGCAGGCTCGTGGCCTCCCCTCCCAGAAGCGCCTCTTCCCCTGGAAGCTGCACATCACGCAGAAGGACAACTACAGGGTCTACAACACGATGCCATGAGCTGACGGTGTCCCTGGAGCAGTGAGGGGACACCAGCAAAAACCTTCAGCTCTCAGAGGAGATTGGGACCAGGAAAACCTGGGAGGATGGGCAGACTTCCTGTCTTTGAGGCTAATGGACCCGTGGGGCTTGTAATCTGTCTCTTTCTACTATTTACATCTGATTTAAATAAACCATTCCATCTGAAAGGGGCAGGCTGCGGGAAAGAGTGTCTTTCATGGGGAGTAAAATACCATTTAATGAGCATCCACAGGGCGTCATTTATATCTGGCAGGGGCCCTGGCTCTGAGACCCCTGTCCTGCCACCCCATTTCCTTGCTCTGTCCCTGTGTTGGGGGGAAACCCGAGGGTCCCCAAGCCATACCCTTTCTCCCTCCCACTGCTCCCCTTTTCCTGGGATTGGCCACCTGCCCCACAGAAGTGATCTGCTCTGGGTGCCCTCTGGGGTTCCACCAATGCCAAGTCCTCGGCTGTGTGATGAGGGTCAGAAGCTCTCCTCTGCCTTCCTGTCTCTGCTGCTCTGTGGAGGAGGAAGGCAGGTCTCGGGGTTGGTTGTCTCCACTGTAAGTAGACACAGGGGGAGGACTCTAGTCTCATCCAGGAGGAGGGGGACACAAAGCAACGGGATCTCCTTCTCTGAGCTGAATCTCCTTCTATCCTAATCTACCAAAAATTAAACAGGTGTGACTCCCACAATGGTGGTGTGAGGAGCTTGGTGGACCCTCTCCCCAGGGAAACAGCAGTTTAACTGATGAGAAATACTTAAAATCAACTGTTTAAAGTCTCTGGAAATTGTTCTAAGGGCACAGAGCACATGGAGAGACAGTCGTTCAAGTAGATCATTACGTCTCAGTAAGAACAGTGAGTCGGTGGCATTGGAGACACATCGTGTTCCCGTCCCCCCACCCCCAGCTCCATGTGATGGAAATTCCACTCCAGATCCTCCACTCTGGATGGATGCAGCCAGGAAGATGGGCTCCCTCATCCCTCAGCTCCTAACCTTCCACAGTTTCACCCCAGGAGGAACAGGCTGCCAGAATCTCTTCTCTCTGCAGCCCTGTGTTGTAGAAGCACTATTCCAGGTCATTACAGCAGAGAGGACTGAGTTTCCTGCAGTTCCCATACAAAGTACCAGGAAATTGAGCTTAAGCAACAGAAATCGATTGTCTCACAGTTCTGAATGCTAGGTGTCCACAGGGCCATGCTCCCTGTGAAATATGTAGGGAAATCCTTCCTTGCCTTTTCTTAGCTTCTGGTGGTTTGCCGGCAATGTTTGGTGCTCCTTAGCTTGTTGATGGATCACTCTGTCTTCACATGGCATTCTACCTGTGTGTATTTACAGTGTCTTCCCTCTGTGCATGTCTGTCTCTGCATCCAAATTCCCCCTTGTATAAGGACACAAGTCATATTGGACTAGGGCCCATCCTAGTGATCTTCTTTTACCTTGATTACCTCTATAAACCTCCTCTTTCCAAATAAGGTCACATTCTGGAGTACTAGGGGTTAGGACTTCAACATGTCATTTTTAATTCCAACATAACACTTCAACCCATGACACTCCCTTTACCCACTCAGCTCCCCCTCCTAGGGCAAGGGCTCTGCAATAGGCGTAGCAGGCTAAGAATGCTGAACCTTAACCCTCTGGTAGAGCAGGGGTTCCATGCTGAGAGGGGCAATCTGAGATCAAGGGATACCGTCCTCCACTCCAGTGCCCACTCACAGAACAGGACATCACTCCTGGAGAAGCAGGCTGATTTCCCCATCCCCAGCTCTGATGCAGTGGTGCAGAGGTTCTGCCCAGGGAGAGAGTCAGGCCTTAGGGATGGAGAATTCCACAGCTTTTCCTGAGGGGACTAACTTTATTTGGGAAGCATGCCGAAGAAGTTGGCAAAAATAATGGAAATCTTGGTGGCCGGCAATTAAGGAGGGGCTAGATACTAATGCCATCAAGAGAAATGTAAGGCCAGAAATTTAACAGAGAACCAGATAAAGAAATAACGAAGAATAGTGGTTCTAGGACTACAGTCATCCCTGAGGACTCAAAAGATTGTGCTCTCGTGCCAGGCTGCACCCACACAGCAGAAATCAGAGTGGAAAGTGTGGCAGACTTGAAATCATTCCCTAAACCACATACAGATCCATCAGCAAAACACGCTAGCTCAAGAGGCTGAAGCATAACCTCTGACCAAGCAATGGCTGAACAATAAGCTAATCTGACACAGAGGGGATTCTTAGGAAGGCAGGCTTAAAAATAAAATTACACTCATTTCCTGGTGGTCTGGAAGACTGCGTGCACGCCCAGGCCGATCACTCTCAGGAGTGACTGGAGAAAGAAACGCTGGGCTATCAGTTTCTGACTGAACATGGGGCAAGTTTGAACCCTGTACTGTAAAAGATGTCTTCAAACCACATTCACGGCCAAAAGTAAGGGGTGAAACCAATCTAATTGAGGGGGCTTCAGCACAACTTTTCACCAATAGGTGGTTTATGCAGACCCAGGTGCAACCTCTAGGAAACCAGGATAAGAGAGAAAAAAAAAAAAAAAAACACAAGAGGAAAAAATACGAGCGGGGGCATCATAAGCTACACATTGTAGGGGAAACGGCCCTCACAAAATTAGTTCAGTGAAGCCACTAAACAAGTAAACAGATAACAAACCAAATAACAAAAACATTAAGCCCTAGAGGGAATAGGAGAGCAGCATCTAGAGTTGCTTCAAAATATAATCTAAAATGTTCAGTTCCTGATATGGTTTGGATCTGTGTCCCTGCCCAAATCTAATGTCTAATTATAATCCCCAGGTTGAAAGTGGACCCTTATGGGAGGTGGTTGGATCATGGGGGTGGATTCTCATAAATAGTTTAGTGCCATTCCCTCCGTGCTGTTCTTGCGATGGTGAGTGAGATCTGGCCATTTAAAAGTATGTGGCACCTCCTCTTTCTCTCTCTCTTCCCCTGCTCTTGCCATTTAAAACTTGCCCGCTTCCCCTTCATCTTCCACCATCATTGTAAGGTTTCCTGAGGCCTCCTCAGAAGCAGAAGCCACTAGGCTTCTTGTATAGCCTGTAGAACCAAGAGCTAACTAAACCTCTTTTCCTTATAAATTATGCAGTCTCAGGTGTTTTTTTGTTTTTTTGTTTGTTTTTTGTTGTTGTTGTTGTTGTTGTTGTTGTTTTGAGACTGAGTCTTGCTCTTGTTGTCCAGGCTGGAGTGCAGTGGCATGATCTCGGCTCACTGCAACCTCTGCCTCCCAGGTTCAAGTGATTCCCCTGCCTCAGCCTCCTGCGTAGCTGGGATTACAGGCACCCCCAACCTTGCCCAGCTAATTTTTGTACTTTCAGTAGAGATGGGGTTTTGCCATGCTGGCCAGGCTAGTCGCGAACTCCTGACCTCAGGTGATCCACCTGCCTCGGCTTCCCAGAGTGCTGAGATTACAGTCATGAACCACTGCACCCAGCTGGTATTTCTTTATAGCAGTGCAAGAACAGGCAAATATAGTTCCCAACAAAAAATTATAAGAATTGCAAAGACACAGCAAAGTGTAATCCATACACAGGAGGCAAATAAAAGCAGGCAAAGGAAACTAAAAAAATTGCCTTTGAGGGAAGGATTCAGATGCTGGACTTAGCAAACAATGACTTTATATTAGGAATATGTTTAAATAACTAAAGGAAACCATGTTTAAAGAATTAAAAGAAAGTATTGTAACAATGACTCTTCAAATAGAGAATATCAATACAAAGACATAAATAATTTTTTAAAAGAGAACCAAATTGAAATTCTAGAGTTGAAAAGAACAATAACTGAAATGAAAAGTCCACTAGAAAGGCTCAGCAGTAGATTTGAGTTGGCAAAAGAATGTTAGCAGAGAAAGTATAAGCAAACTGAGAGATAGATCAATAGAGATGATGCAATCTTAAGAAAGAAATAAAGAAAAAGGAGTGAAGAAAAATGAGCAGAGCATCAGAGAAATGTGGGACCCATGAAGTGTACCAACATATGCATAATGAGATTACCAGAAAGAGAGGAGAGAAGGAGACAGAAAAAGGATGAAAAGAAATAATGATTGGAAACTTTCCAATTTTTATTTTTTAAAAAACCACCAATCTACATATCCAAAAAGCTCAACAAACTCCAAGTAGTAAAATACAAAGAAAGCCACACTTAAACACATCATAGTCAAAATGTTGAAAGCCAGACATAAAGAGAAAATCTTGAAAGCAGAAAGAGAAAAATGACTCACCGCATAAAAGGGAACTACATTAAGACTAACAGCTGATTTCCTGTCAACCAAGAATCTTACATAAAACAAATCTACCACTCAAAAATGAAGGTGAAATTAAAACATTCCAAAATAAGCAAAAACTGAGAATATTCATTGTTAAGCAGACTTGCCATTACAAAAAAATATTAAAGGAAGTTCACTCTAATGGCTTCATTTTAACTTGATTAGCTCTGTAAAGACTCTATTTTTTTTTTTTTTTTTTTGAGATGGCGTTTCACTCTTGTTACCCAGACTGGAGTGCAATGGTGTGATCTCAGCTCACTGCAACCTCTGCCTCCTGGGTTCCAGCAATTCCCCTGCCTCAGCCTCCTGAGTAGCTGGGATTACAGGCGTGCACCACCACGCCTGGTTAATTTTGTATTTTTAGTAGAGATGGGGTTTCTCCATGTTGGTCAGGCTGGTCTTCAACTCCCGACCTCAGGTGATCCACATGCCCCAGCCTCCCAAAGTGCTGGGATTATAGGTGTGAGCCACTGCACCCAGCTAAGACTCTATCTCATGTAAGATCACTGCATTCTGAGATACTGGGGTTAGAAATTCAACATATCTTTTGGGGGAGAATACAATTTGAACCACAACAGTACACTAGAAAATATCCATTTAAGAAAAATTTTAAAAGACCTTGCAAGGTGTGATCTCCCAAACCCAGTTATTTGGCTTCTAGTTTGTTGCCTGACCACATTCACCAAGAAAATTTTCTGCCACAAAACAACCAGACCTCAGCTAGGACACAGGCTTTGAGGAATTATGAGCCTCACAAGAAGCAAAGGAGTTCTCCAATGATTCTTCCACTCCCCACCAAAAAAACTATGATAGGAGCTGAAACCAGAATACAGAGCAGTTGGGGTGTTGTTTTCTGGAGTGCAGAGGCAGTCCAGAAGGCAGAGCCATGGGGAGGCCATGAGATAGGGAGGCTGCGCCAGGGGCTTCCGTGCCAGGCCAAGGCCCTAGATGTGAGAGCTGAGGTGATCTGGAGAGAGTGGCATTCCTGGCTTCAAGCAGAAGCGGAAGAGGGTCTCCTCTGGAGTAAAGTATTTCCAGTTTAGGCTGGCAGGAGTTACCCTGATTAATATCAAGCAAAAGGCTCATAGTCAAAGATCACCAAATCTCTGTGAGTGAGAATGAGCAGAGGCAATAAACAATAGCTTTAGAGCCCCAGGGACTACCGATTACCGAATTATGTGACTGAAATATTTAAAGAAATAAAGAATGTAACCATAAAGATAAACAAGCAAAAAAGAATGAGATGGCAAATTTTCAGATGTGTAAAAGAAAGAAGGTATGAACGCATCTATGTGTGTGCGTGTGTGTGTGTGTATACACACATATATATTATTCAATGGGTGAGTTGGTAAAAAGTCCAAATTTATCAATAATTCTGATACCATAAACATAGATGGATTCCATGCATGAGTTAAAAGACTGTCAGGGCCGGGCACAGCGGCTCATGCCTGTAACCCCAGCACTTTGGGAGGTAGAGGCTGGCAGATCACGAGGTCAGGAGTTTGAGACCAGCCTGGCCAATATGGTGAAATGCCGTCTCTACTAAAAACACTAAAAAATTAGCCGGGCGTGGTGGTGCACACCTGTAATCCCAGCTACTCAGGAGGCTGAGGCAGGGGAATCGCTTGAACTCGGGAGGCGGAGGTTACAGTGAGCCGAGATCGCACCACTGCACTCCAACCTAAGCGAGAGAGTGAGACTCCGTCAAAAAAAAAAAAAAAAAGACTGTCAGATTGAATTTTTAAAAATCTAAATCTATGTAAGTGTCATATGTACAAGAGACACACATAAGGTAAAACGTCATGGAAACATTGAAATTAAAAAAAAAGTATGAAAAAAGATATTCCTGGAAACCACTAACCAGAAGACAGCTGGGACGTCTATACAGATTCACAATCTACTTTTGTGTAAACTTGGTACTCAAACTCACTTGGTAGCACTCCTTGACCCTGAGCTGAATAGTTAACGCTTACCAGCCATATGTGTCTCTGCTATTCCCTTATTTTTTGATGCTTTTGGGGGGATGAATTTTGATTTTATGTACAGCTCAAGTAAGAACCCGTCAAAATCAGAAGTGAAAAGCTTTTGCTGATAATGAAGCTGATGAAAATTGCATGGGTGGATTTGTTAAGTAACGGTATCTGATGAAAACCTTGGCTCTGATCAATTGGCAGTGGGCTTCAGTCTGCTCTGCAGAATGGCTGATGAGGACCCACCAATTGCTTACACCCTGTTGACTGTTCTTGGCGTACCATGTGCTACAGGAACACACCAGATACATTTGACAGTAACTGGAAAAAGCCTACATCCACCATCTTTGTAGGATGTATCCAATTTACCGTCTGTCAGTACACATACTAGACACCATGAGTAACCAGAGAAATATTTTCTGACTGATTAATAACATTTTTATACCAGCGGTACAAACTCATTGCAGGGATTCTAGCTTGGAAAAAACAATTGTTAGATGTTATCATTCCTAGGAAACTGCTATGCATACTCCCTCCCTAAACATCTTGTGGAAAAGCAGTTTCAGCTTTTATTTCCCCTTGGGGGATATGTGCATTTTAGCCTAAGTGCAAAGAAGTTTAGAGGAAGGGTAAACACTTTTTTTCAGGCTGTGCTCTTGCTACCATCACAGAACCTAAGATTCCATGGCTCCCGAAAGAGTCCAGTGTTAAGAATGTCATGTACACAATTGACAGTGTTTGGAATGATGCTGATTATACATTAACACATTTGACACAGATTCTGACTATACTGATGCTTGCAAACAAGTCTGTACATAAAGGTTTTGGAGAATTTTTGTGACTTATGAGAAAATGATGATGTAAGACTTCATTCTTGCACAAAAAGTTTATCAGCTAAAAGTGGAAATAACTGAGAAAAACTGATACCAAAGAAATGTCAAACACCGTGATTCAGCTATTGTTCATTCTTTGCATAGTGGGGAAGTTGCTAACAAATACAGATAAGGGTTACTGTGATGATAATGACTACACAATTAACACAGAGTAAAACATTCCCATTAAAAATATGGTGAATATTTAATTAGTTAATTATGGGCCTTGAGCAATTCTCAATTAATGGTGAGCAGGAGATAATGGAAAATTACCCAATTAGAAACAGGCTTCTCAAGTAGGCATCTCATGGAATAGGATGCTGGAAGAAGTCATTAAAAAGGCAATTGATTGCAGTGTGCTTCTTGGTTTGGGGACCCTGTTCCTGGTACATCATGAGATGTCCAGGAGGGAATATCTGGCATCCTCAAGTTAAGATAATTCAAGGTGTGTTTAATAAAGGGACTGTTTACAAAGACGTAGACAACACACAGGAAAACCTCAAGGAATAGTTCAATATCCCAGGGATAGGACCTCAGACCTGTTACATTCCTGAGCCCAAAGGAATAAAGGGAAGGAGTGTCTACAAAACCTGGAAGGAGGGGATTGTGTAGACATGGCCTCCTTAGAAGGACTGGTGATCTTTGACTGGTGGGCGAGATTGACCCAAAGTAACCCCGCTGGGAGGCGATCAGAGGAACAAATACCCCGCCCTCCTCTCCTTCCCCATTCTGATCTCAGGGGAGGGGTTCCCTACTGCCAAACAAAACTGGAAGCCCTAGGGCCAGGCTGTTGTAATCCACACAGGTTAGCTTCCCAAGGTAGACAGCAGGGCGGAAGAGAGCACAGTGTAGATGTGAGTGGGGAAAAATGAAGATATCTGGCATCCTCCACCCGTTTTGCCCCTCATTATATACGCTTATCCTTCAGCCAAGTGAAAACTCCATGTTCCCAAGACAGGGAACACAGGAATTCCCATCAGCTATTTTGGCATTTTAGGATCATATCCATACAGACATACTCCCACCTGAAACCCAAAGTGTGAGCTGCTACGGGTATTCTTTATATAAAGCAGTGGAGGCATGATGAATGAAGTAATATACGCATGGCTGTTAGAGCCCCTGCATCCGCAGCTGGTCACAGGTCCAAAGCTGATATTTTGAGCTACCTGTTCCCAGTGTTCATTTCATGTTCCTCTTTCCTCTGCCAGTACATGGGTCAAATAAGGGTCTTTATGTGGTGGAGCAACTCAAGACTTCATTCCTATGGGATCTGAGTTCTCGTTAGACTTGTCTTTATCAGATTGCCTCAGTATTCCATTGACCAGGACTATTGGGTAAGAAAATACTGAGAGGCACCTATGTGAATCACGGTGGGACCACACATAGTCCTGTCTACCTCCTTTCTTTTTTCTTTTCTTTTCTTTTTTTTTTCTTTTTTTTTTTTTTTTTTTTTTTTTTTTTTGAGATGGAGTTTTGCTCTTGTTGCCCAGGCTTGAGTGCAGTGGCACAATTTCAGCTCACTGCAATCTCTGCCTCCCGGGTTCAAGTGATTCTTCTGCCTCAGCCTCCCAAGTAGCTGGGATTACAGACACCCAGCACCAAGTCCAGCTAATTTTTTTTTTGTTGTATTTTTAGTGGAAACGGGGTTTCACCATGTTGGCCAGGCTGGTCTTGAACTCCTGACCTCAGATGATCCACCTTTCTCCACCTCTTTCTCCACCTATTGGCTCAGTGGCACAAGGAGGGTCAAATGGTTCAAATTTCTAAAAAATATCACTTTGTATATGCCACAAGTTTTCATATGCCCTATTGTCATTTGATTGTAACTACTATTTAAATTCAATTAGGATATTATCTGAGCTATCAGTTACTTAGAAGTGTGTTTTAAAATTTTTAAACATGTGAGGATTTTATTTTTTGTTTGTTTGTTTTTGGGGGTTTTTTTGAGTTGGAGTCTTGCTCTGTCGCCTAGGCTGGAGTGCAGTGGCACAATCTCGGCTCACTGCAACTTCTGCCTCCCGCGTTCAAGCGATTCTCCTGCCTCAGCCTCCCAAGTAGCTGGGATTATAGGGATGCACTACCACACCCAGCTAATTTTTGTATTTTCAGTGGAGATGGGGTTTCACCATGTTGGTCAGGCTGGTCTTGAACTCCTGACCTCAAGTGATCCACCCACCTCGGCCTCCCAAACTGCTGGGATTACAGTTGTGAACCACCATGCTTGGCCATGTGAGGACTTTAAAAAAACACTTTTTTTTCTTTTTCTTTTTAAAGTATCCTTGCACGTTTTGTGCAGATTCATTTGTCTTTCATGTCCTTCAGTTTTAGAGACCTAGACAAGCTAAGGGAGTGAATCAAAATCAACAGATAACAAGGGTGAGGTTTCTCAAACTGAAGCATCCTGTTTACGTCTGGTAAAACCACCTCCACAGAACATCATGCGTCGTCAGGTATAAGGCCTAACACCTGTGGTGTGTAGTGATACAGCATTTTATCTCTTCCTTGTAGCCCATGAAATAAAGAGAAAGTTTGTTCAAGAGATGATGGTAGTTTTCACTGCACTAGAGTGTTACAAGAAAGTAAGTGAGAACAATAACCCCAGGACAGGGAGGCTGCTGCTCACTGCTCCAGCATCTGCAGCATTCTCCTGAGGGGACACATTAAGGCAGCAGAGAGACATTTCCCAAAATAAACAGCGAGGGAAATAAAGGTGTAGGAGTCACAGTGAGGAGGCTAAAGTGACTCCATCTTGGAAGCTAATCCACCATGTTGACTTCTGATTAACCCCGGTTCTGGGAATGCCGCTAAGATTTCCATTTTATCTATTGTTCTTTGTGTGAGAACATATGCCTACCATAAATCCTGCCTTTAGATCAAATTAAGCGTGCTACCCTTTCTTTATGGTGTATAATCCCTGGGTCTGGGGGATAATAGTGTAGAGATCTACCTGTCTCACAGCTGCCCAAGACCATCCTTCAGTCCCTAAGTTCCCAAATAAAACCATCCTATAACAAGCTGGATTCGTCTGCTTCCTTCTTTGGTATCCTGGCTCCTATGTTTGCAGGTCACTTTGCATATACAGGCTTAAAAAAACACTTTTAATAGTCAAATATAACAATACAGAAAGTACATAAAAGAAAAATAGCTGAAAATTAACAAGCTAAACTTCCAAAATCAGAAGTAAAAAAACAAAAACAAACAAACAATAGAATTAGCTCAAGGAGAGAAGTAAAGACATAAAGATAAGGCCAGAACTCAAGATCACCACAACCAACAACAAAAAATACAATAGAAAAGGTCAACAAAGCCAAAATTGGGTTCTTAGGAAAGACTATGGTAAAACTGATGAAGATAAAAAGAAAGAAGAAAAAATAGTATTAGGAATGTAAATGAACCATAATTATAGATGAAACAGAGGTTTAAAATACACTGAGAATTTCGTCAAAAGCTTTATATTCTAAATTTTAAAATTTAGGTTAAACAAATACTTAGAATAGTATAATTTGGTTTAAAAAATCAAGAGAATAGAGAGACTGAATTTTCCTTTAACTATTAAATACATTGAAGTTGAAATGTTGCCTCCCCAGGCACATACAGTTTTATGGGCAAGTTCTACCAAACGTTAGAACAGCAGATTATGCTAACATTACAAAAAAATCTTCCAGAAAATAGAAGATAGACTATTTCCCAACTCATCTATGCAGCCAGAATAATCTTCTTGCCTGTCTTAGTCTGTTTTGTGCTTCTATAGCAGAATACCACCGATTGGATAATTTATAAAGAAAATAAATTTATTTCACACAGGTCTGGAGGCTGGGCAGTCCAAGGTCAAGGCACCGGTAGATCAGGGTCCAGTTTCTCTGTTTCCAACATGGCATCTTGAGCGCCGCATCCTCCAGAGGGGAGGAACACTATGTCTTCACATGGCAGAAGAGCAGAAAAGGAAAAGAGTAAATCCATTCCTGCAAAGCCTTTTTATAACAGTATTAATCCATTAAACACCTCCCAAAAACTTCCACATTCCAACACTGTGACATTGGAAATTGAGTTTCCAACACATTAATTTTAGGGGACACATTCAGACCACAGCAATTCCCAAATATGCAAAAGCAGTACAAGTAGTAAAAATTATAAATCAATCACATATATGAAGATAGAGACTTTAGCAAACTAAATTCAGCAGGAAACACACATACACACAAAGACAATATAAATGCCTACATTAGGTTTAACCCAGACATACAAGGAAAGATTTGCATCTAAACATGTATAAGTACTATTCATGCCGGGCGCGGTGGCTCACGTCTGTAATCCCAGCACTTTGGGAGGCCGAGGCGGGTGAACCACGACGTCAGGAGATCGACCTCGTTCGGCGGGTGGACCACGAGGTCAGGAGATCGACCTGGCTAACACGGTGAAACCTTGTCTTTACTAAAAACACAAAAAATTAGCCGGGCGTGGCAGCAGTCGCCTGTAGTCCCAGCTACTCGGGAGGCTGAGGCAGGAAAATGGCGTCAACCCGGGAGGCGGAGCTTGCAGTGAGCCGAGATCGCGCCACTGCACTCCAGCCTGAGCGACGGAGCGAGACTCCGCCTCAAAAAAAAAAAAATTATTCACCACCACATAAAAGAATAAAGGAGAAAAACTATATGATCAACTCAACAGATGCGGGGAAAATAATTTGATACAATTCAAGACCTATTCATGAATTTAAATTAAACGCACGTGCACATACCCACACACCTCTTAGTATACTGGGAATAAAAGCGATGCCTTTCATTTAATAAAGGCTGTCTTCAAGAAAATCTGCAGCAAACATCATTCTAACATTTAGTAGGAGCACATTTGAATATAGCAGCAGTTCCTTTACATGGTAGAAAGGCAAGAATGTCCACTATCGCTCATCTACCAACACTGGAGGCCCCAGCCACGCAGCATGGCATTAAAAAGAAATAAAAGCCTAAGAATTGGAAGGCAAAAGCATATCTGTCATTATTCACATTTGCTATAATCGTCTACATTGAAAACCCAATAGAATGTATAGGCAAATCATTCACTGTGATAAGAGTGCGTCACTGTGTGGCTGATTATGCTAACATTAAAAGTTGATTGCCTTTCTAGACGACAGCAATAAATAATTTGAAAAGAATTCTTAAAAGAGATGCCATTTACAACATCAATAAAACCTTAACGTACTTGGAAATAAATCTAACCAAAGGTAGGCAACACCTGTATGTAGAAAATGGTAAAACTTAACTGAAAGATTAAAGAAAACTGAAATAAATGGAGAGACAACCCATGTTCATGAATAGGAGGCTAATATTGCACAGCTGCCAGTTCT
Organism: Homo sapiens; assembly: GCF_000001405.40. Taxonomy (NCBI): domain Eukaryota; kingdom Metazoa; phylum Chordata; class Mammalia; order Primates; family Hominidae; genus Homo; species Homo sapiens. Next base: position 36,890,294 of record NC_000022.11, read on the forward strand.
CCCAACTGATCTATAGCTATCCATAGGTTTGATGCAAATAGAAAAAAATCCCAATAATTTATTTCTTCTTTTTGTTTTATTTTGTTTTTGTATATATTTTCATAAACTTTTTCTAACATTTATATAGAAGAGCAAAGGACTTGAAATAGCCAAGTTACTCCTGAAGATGTATAAAGTGATGGGAGATGACCTCTAGAATAGCAAGAATTATTATAAAGCAATGGAAATGAAAACAATGTAATATTGTCCTAGGGACTGATCATTTATCTATGGAACAGAATAGAGAGCCCAGAAATACTTGATATGTGATAGAAGTAGATTTGGCCGGGCACAGTGGCGCACGCCTGTAAACCCAGCAATTTGGGAGGCTAAGGCGGGCAGATCATAAGGTGAAGAGTTTGAGACCAGCCTGACCAACATGGTGAAACCCCTTCTCTACTAAAAATACAAAAATTAGTCAGGTGTGGTGGCATGTACCTGTAATCCCTGCTACTCAAGAGGCTGAGGCAGGAGAATCGCTTGAATCCGGGAGGCGGAGGTTGCAGTGAGCCAAAATCACACCACTGCACTCCAGCCTGGGTGACAGAGTGAGAGTCTGTCTCAAAAAAAAAAAAAAAAAAAAAAAAAAGGTAGATTTGCAGATTAGTTGGGGGAAGAGAAATCAAATCACATAATGGTGCTTGGGCAATTGCTAGGCCATATGGAACACAAAACAAATGAGATTGGATCCCTAACTTAAACCATTCCAAAAGGCAACTTATGCATTAAACTGTAAGACAGAAAAGTAATACTTTGAGAAGATATATAGGATGCTATCTACCAAATCTTGGGATAGAGAACAATTTCATAAAGAAAACAAAAATAAATAAATATTAATAAATTTGATTACATTAAGCTCAAGATGTTCTCATCATCAAAAGTCACAAGAGAAGAGGCACAGTGGCTCAGCCTGTAATCCCAACACTTGAGAAGGCCCAGGTAGGAGGATTGCTTGAAGCCAGAAGTTTGCAACTAACCTGGGGAACAAAGCTAGACCTTGTCTCTATAAAAGAAATGTTAAAATTAGCTGATGTGCCTATAGTCCCAGCT